>NC_000003.12:107644967-107947998 GCF_000001405.40 Homo sapiens | reverse complement strand
AGGCAAAATGGAATGTTCCAGATCTCAAAATGGAGTTTTAATTTGAATTGGGCAAATCTAGCCCTCCTTAAGGCCATAGAATGGTTTCCACAAACATCCAATCTAGTATAATCTCTTCATTCATGCTTCCAAGTCTCTTTGGGATTGCTCAATGATCCACTCATTCTTTCTGTTTTTCTCTCATCCCTCTCTCTCTGTTGAAATGCCACCTCCTCCATGAATACCTTAAGACATGCTGATAATTGCCCATTCAATATTCATTCATTCACCCCCTTTTTCTTACTAATTTATTCAAGGTACAAGTGTCCAATTTAAAATAATTTTCCAGACCCCCAGCAATGACCATATGACCCAGTTTTGGCCAAAGTGATGAAAATGAGATTTACTGGGCAGAATTTACAAAAACTTTTTTTTTTTTAAAGAACAATTCATCTGGCATGCTCTTTTGCCCTTTAATCTTGGTCTTTACCTTTTTCCATCTTCTTGTCTGGGACCTGGACTTAGCATTTGGAAGTATAGCAGCCATTTTGCAATGTTAAGAACTGTAAACTAAGGATAATTAAATTGTAAGATTAAAGGAATTTGGACTTTTGATGACATTGCAGATTCACCCCACTAGTCTTAGACTGCCTAACTCTAATCTTCTGTGACATGGGACTAGTAAACTCCTTTCCATTTAAGCCACTCTTTTTTGGGTTTTGTTGCTTGCAGCTATAAACAATCCTGACTGATACACCCTTCATAATCAATTGAGAGGCTCATAGTAAATTTGTCTGGGATTTTCCCTGTCCAAACATACAACTCCAATAACTCCTATTTCACTCTCCACCTATATTAGTCAGGATTCTCCAGAGAAATAGAAAAAAATATATATATGAACATTTTTAATTTTATGTTGTTTAAAAAATACATATTTTTAAGGAATTGACTCATGCAATTATGGAAGCTTAGAAGTCTTAAGATCTGCATTCAGAAAGCTGTAGACCTAGGAGAGCCAGTGATGTAGCCAGTCCAAGTCTGAAGGCCTGAGAACCAGTCCAGGGGATGCAGCAGTCCCAGCCCAAAAAAAAAGGAAAAGACTGATGTCCCAGCTCATACAGGTAGGGGGAGTTTCCTCTTACTCAACATTTTGGCCTATTCAGGTCTTCAGTTGATTGGATGAGGCCCACTCACATTAGAGGACATCTGCTTTACTCAGTCTTCCAATTCAAATATTAATCTCAATTAGAAACACCCACACAAACTGCTATGGTTGGCTCTGTTTTCCCATCCAAATCTCATCTCGAATTGTAATCCCCACAGTCCCCAAGTGTCAAGGGAGGGACAAGGTGGGAGGTGATTGGATCATGAGGGCGTCTTTCCCTGTACTGTTCTCATGATAATGAGTTCTCCCAAGATCTGACGGTTTTATAAGGCAGTGCACCCCGCTGTTGCGTGCTCTCTCTCTTTATCACCTGCCACCATGTAAGACGTGCCTCTTCCCCTTCTGCCATGATTGCAAGTTTCTGAGGTCTTCCCAGTCCATGAGAATGGACTAATACACAAACATACCCAGAATAATCTTTGGCCAAATATCTGGGCCCCCTATAGTCCAGTTTGACATCAAATTAACCATCAAAACCACTCCATCACCTTCCCTTACATGAATGTTTGGCAGGCGTTGTCCGAGACACTGGTAATCCATGTAAATGAAATTCCTGGAGATTATCAAAGCCCTCTGATTTTTAACCATTTTTAGGGTTGCCAGATAAAACATTTTCATTTGCTAAATCTAGGAACCCCATTTTGTTTGGAAACATCTAAAATGTTTTCCATGCTTTATCGTTACCTTGAACATTTTATAGTTTTTATATTTTCTGCATGTTGCTGTGATTACTACCTTGTGCTTCCTATACAATGCTCTTTATTGATACTTACTGATGTGTTTCCCCTGTATTACATTTTTCCAATCCACACAGTTTTTGGAATATATAAATGAATATATCAGTATGCATATAAGCATGTGTACACACACACACACACACACACACACACACACTTTCTCTTCTTGCCAGCTGGCACTGCTTTACTGTCAGAATGCCTGTCAACAACATCTTGACCTTTGTCTATACAATTTACTGCTGCTAATCTGTTTTTAATATGCCTATGTTAGAATTTTGTCTAAAATAAAAAATGACTCTAAAGAATGATTTGAAGGACTAATTTATTAGTAAAAATGATGGACTTGGTAACATTTATTTTGACTGCTCCATCACAGAAATGTTTCTGGGCTCCTGGTTCTGGATTGTGTTTGGTTGTAGTACTTGTATATTCAAGTGATCTCTTAATCAGAGAGGTACAGCTATACAATTTGTCTCTTTCAATATTTGCCCATTCTGTTTGTGTGTATGCATGCCTGTACATGCTCATGCATATGCGCACACACACACACACACACAGACATACACATATAATCAGGAGTTATTTGATAGTTTTTGTGTCCTTAAAAATTTACCTATATGAGCATTATCTGTGTTAGCATTTAAGCTCTTAAATGACAGGGAACAATTTTATTGAATTCACTTGACATCCCAGCATTACTCATTAGCTGGGCTTAACCAGTGGTCTCTGTTGGTGTGAATTCCCTCTATATTCTTGCTACTATGCAAGGACCCAAGGCCTGGAAGCACAAGCCTAGCCAGGGAGCTTGTTAGAAATGTAGACTCAGAAAACCTTCCCCAGACCTACTGAATGAAAATCTGCATTTTAACAAGTTCCCCAAGTGATGGTTTATCAAACTTTAGTGAGTCTCAGAATCCCCTGGAGGGCTTGTTAAACCACAGGTTGCTGGGCCCACCCTCATCATTTCTGATCCAGCAGGTCTGAGGTAGACTCTGAGAATTTGCATTTCTAACAAGTTCCCAGGAGGTTCCCAGGTATTGACAACGGGTCTTTGGACCACACTTTTGAGAGCTTCTGCTCCAAAGGAAACATAATAACAGAACTGGCCAAAATCTATTGGCTTAATAACAAGAGGTCTGCATTTTAGCTTTTATTCATCAAGCTGTGTGACCTTGAGAAGGTCTTTTTTGGTCTTTTTTTTTTTTTTCTTGTGGGTAAATAAAACAATGTGAGGATCGAGTGTAGCACAGTGCTTGTCTTCTCAACATCTGTTTACATGCCTACTCTCTCCCCTCTGCACTGTCAGCTCCTTGAAACCAGGAAGCATATTTTATAATCATTTTATCCTCAGTGAGACCATGAAGTCTCTTTCTTGAATGAGTGAATAAATGAGCAAATAAAGAAATGAATCCAAGACATGAGATGATAATGGTTGTAAAAGTGTCTTTAAAATGAAGGGTATTTTTATTATTGTTGTATATGGTGCCTAATTCTTTAAGATGGCTGATAAACTACTGTAGTTTCAAGGACATCTATAATAATAATAACAACAATTGCAGCAACTAATTTATATGGTAGTATTAGGCTCCATGCAAAAAATAATAATTGGTGGGGAAGACATTTTCAAAATACTGAGTCCAATATGCATGGAAACTGTAAGACACCAAGAGGCATGATTTGGTGTGTGTAGAGAAATGAGGATTGGAACGATAAAACCAGACTCAAGGCTAGTCAAAAGTTCTAGCAAACTGGCAGCCAACTTCTGCATTAAGGTTGCTGCAGCTTGGGTGAGTCAGAGGACTTTGGGGGAAAGAACTCTGCAGTTTGAAGCTTAGCAATTTTGCTCTCTTTCTGGAGGAGGGTTGGAGAAGTAAGCAATCATGGGAGGGGCTGGGAAAGCCCATGTTTGCCTGTATCCCATCCCCTATCTGTGCCAGGTTCCTCTTGGTTTATATGGCAGATGCACCCAACAGCGATAACTTAAGCATACTCTGAGAGTGACCCTATGGCTTAAGAAGAATATGTGTTCGGAGTTCTCAGCTAAGGAATCTGGGAGTGGCCAACCCAGAGATTCATTCCTCATCAATGAGGAACATCTGAACCCTCAGCCCACCCCATGGAACACAGGGCGTGCAGGGGATTGAGGCCCTTTGTTCTGGGTTAAAATTTGCCAGCAAAGGCTGCTAGGGGAAGGATGTTAAGTGAAAATAAGCTGCATGTTTTTTACAAGTGGTTGTGATTCTGTCCGGCCCACTGCCACTCAGTTGCCCTGTATCTAAGTCCCCTCCATAAACCCTGTATCTTGTTTGCTGGCTCTAGGTCTCTTCTTTGGCCTCTCAAACATGGTACCATCCCTCTGAAATTAATAGGGTCCTGGCATGACATGGTTCCTTGCACAACCTTCAGGTGCAACTCAAAGCTCTGAGCCAGGCCTTAGCTCTCTAACTCTGATTCCACAGATCCTGCTATTTCCAAGGGACTCAGCCTGGCTTAGAATTCTGTTCCCAGCTGACCTTGTTGTATACAAGGTCTGACCCCAGGAGAGTTTCCAACTTTTTTGTCATCTTGGAAACTGTGAAAGTTTCCCTGCAGGCCACAACCTTACCACATCTGATTGCAATAAAACCAAGAAGCAAATGTTTCTGCGCCAAGAGAATATAACTTTTACAAAGGAAGATTTGATCAACAGCTCTCTACGTAAGAATATGAGCAGCTGAATGTGATCAGGAACTGGCAATATCATTTTATTAAGGGAGAGTAGATGCCCTTGGTACTTGAGAACTCAAATCTGTTTCTTTCCAAAGTTTTCATTTTCCCCTGCCTTGTGCATCTGTCACCTACTTGCTTGTATTGATTAAAAAAAAAAAAAAGAAGAAGAAGAAAAGAAAAAATTTAGCCTATGTCTAGGCTACAACGTGGTACGGTTTAATTCATGTTTGGAAAGTAGTAGAATTTATTCGATGAAAGGTGTTGGCTGTCACTCAGAGTCTTACAGCACAATTTCCTAGTGTTTATTGAGGTTTTAAAGTGAAATAAAATTCAATTGGATCTGAAACACTGCTGATGGATGACTTTTTATTTAATAAGTTAAGGAAACTATAGCATGAGATTCACTTAAGCACCTGAGTGCATCTGTGATATTGTTAAACTATAACCCAACATATCTGCAGAAGAAAAAAGGTTACAAAGCCCAGAAAAATGGGTATCAGCTTTCTATCAACAGATAATAGTAACGACGATTGTGGGTTCCTGAGAGGTATGGCAGTAGAATCACCAGGATTCCCTGGTGTTTTAGGCAATTTACGTAGGAAAGTTGAATGTTGCTACAACTTGTATTTGAATTTGCAGTGGAAATTGGTAAATCTAAGGAACAGAACATTTAAGCACAATGTGGGTGTAGCAAACACAAACATTTATGTATTTACGTGTGCAAATTAGTATAAACATTTGATGGGCTTCGAATTATTTTGAATGGCTTTTCCTTCTCTCTGATGAAACTGAATTGTCACAGTCTCCAAGCCCTCATGCTTCTCCAAGAGCTAGAGCGGCTCAAGCCCTCCTCAGTGCATACCTACTCTTATTTGAGGCATAGTTCTAACGAGTTTGTTTAGGTGGTTTCTAAACCCACGACGTGTGAGAGGTGGGAAATTAGATCAGGGAGTAGCCAGTTACTCATTCTCTGAGTCTGTTTCCTCTGTAAAATATGAATCATAACAGAACTTAACCTAAAGGGTTGTTCAGAGGATCAAATGAGATAATGTAAGGAAAGCACTTCGCACATTTACAAAGGTTGATGTAGGAAACACTTTGACCTAGAAGAGGTCCTGACAATCGAATGATCTTCACACCTCATTTTGAAAATTAGGAAAATGAGTTCCAGAGACGTCAAATGTAAAAGCCAAACATTGGCAGAACAGGAAATTTGATGAAAGGAAAGAAAAACTTTTGGAGACCTAGTCTATACCAGGAATATCACATCTGCATCATTTGTGAGCCTCAGAAAGTTCTATAAGTTATTATCTCTGTTTTCTGGAAGAATAAAGCTCAGAGAGGTCCAGTGCGTAAGGCCACACAGTCAGTGTGTGCTGGAACTGGGTTGTACACCCAGACTTGCTTGACTTCAAAGCCCATGCTCATTCCTCTTTCCTACTCTGTCTTAACTCTGTCTTATGTAACCAACTTGATAGTGGGTATAAAATGCTTAAAACAAACCAGAACACTCTGGAGGTATTATTACTGGGGTTAAATCTCTTTAATTGTATCATAGAGGTATCCAATGGAATATTCACTTTTTAGCTGAAATCCCAATATTAACGTTTCTTTTTAGCAAAGGCAGGGAAATGTGGCTCTCTTCACAGCCTTAATATGGCAGAGAATGCTAATAGAGGAGAGAAACACAGACAGGGCATGGAGGGCACAGTTCTGAGCAGACAGAGTCACAGTGCCATGTAAACAAACCCAGAGAGAGGCATTTCTGGGCAATTAGAGGCAGGTTATTTTGCAGAAAGTATTGGCGGGAGCCAATCTCTATAGAAATCAACAGACAAAGAATGTATTTAAAGCAAAATCTAAGAAATAGCAGAGATGGAGAATAAGCTCCAGATAGCATCAAAGTTCCACAAAGAGCTGCCACCATTCTAGCACTGGCTGCCCATCACCAAAACAGCGGAGGAGCCACAAGGACCAGCAGAATCTGATAGTGGACAAGTCCTGCTCATTTATAAGCAGCAATGACTCCTTTAGTCACAGAAGAAACTGGAGCTTTTCACTAGTCCACATTCACCATGTATTTTTTGAGGGATGGTTATCATTTATCACATGGGATTCGAAATCAGACAGCTGGGTGTGAATCCCAGCTTCACTCATTGTCAGCTTTACAACCTGGGGCAAGTTCCCTAACCTCTCTGCGTGTACTTCAGTTTCCTTATTTATAAAATGGGTTGAAAACTCGTGCCCATACCACATGATACTAAATAACCCACAGTATTACTGGGAGAATGAAATAAGTAAATAAGGGCATGCATGGCAGTTGGAATAGTTCCTGGCACAGAGTGAGAGCTGAATAAATCTTAGCTGTTATTATGACCTCGTAGAGTTGCTTAGAGGAAAAGATGAGATAGAATTCTTGCCTGGCATGTGGTAAGTACTTGAAAAATGTTTGCCATTGTTTTATACTTGATGTATTTATCATATACAGGTTTAATGGACATTTATTGTTAAATTCATCAAGTCCTAGGTTAACGAATCCAGATATAATTGTAGATAGATATCGGACTTGGCTAAACCCTACCTGACCTTTGCCGCTAAGATTCTAGTACACAGAATGGGCAAATGGGAAGTGCCAGCCCCCTACCCCCACCTCCACCATGACAAAGGCTGTTCTAGAAAAAGATTTCTTTCCAGTGCCTGCAATGTAATCCATCAGTATGAGATTGTGGTACACTTTCTTTTCCTGATAACTTTGGTAATTAAAGGACACCAAACACCCATCATGATTCAGCATTCTCTCCCAAAAAATCATATGGATTAAAGGCATCACAGTATCTATATGGCATCTGATCCTTTCCCATGAACCTCTTCCAAAATTCTCCTGCAGGAAGCAAGCCCTAACCTGCAGTGTCTTGGAGTGGGAAGCTCTAATACTGTCAACAAAAGATACTTTATTTAAAAAAAAACCATAACTGATCCTAATACGCAAAAGCTGAGAAAGATGAAAGTAGTGAAAAAGTAGCAGGAAAATATACGGACTGTCTTTGCACGAGTCAATTGAGATTCAGAATGAGGTTCACACAAAGGCCACCCTCCAACTGAGATTTACATGGTCTAAGTAATAAAGCAGCCACGGGGGAAAAACTCACTAACAAAAATGTTGCTTCCTCTGCTGCCTGACTGCAGTTGGAGAATGCAAGAAGCCGTGTGATCCCCAGAGAAAGTAAGAGAATGTGCGGTGCATAAGGAAGGGGTTAGGGAGGAGAGCCAGATCCAAAGGCTCCACTTTAACCTGAGAAGTACTGAAATTATCAAGAAGCAAAGAAAGCCTTGGCACCCTGTGGTCCATGATAAATAAAGCAACATGAACCATGTGACAAATCAGATGCCAGCAAAAAGTATGCTGTCTCTGGCCATCTTTTCAAACCTACTAAATCAACATCCCAAAGGCAAAGCGTCCATGATACTAAATAACCCAGTCTTAAAATGTCCAGTGTGAAGTTTGTTTGCTTTTTTGTTTTAAAGAAGCAGCTTTGTATTCTCAGGCTGTGTCTATATGCAATTGCTTTGATCATTTTCAGTGACACGGGCAGTCGATGCAATTGAACCAAATCAAATAAGAAGTGTCCTTGGTCAAACAGCTTGTTGGATCTGAGTGGCGCACTTCTCTCAGAACCTTCACACAGGTGAAGATTGCAGTATGGCTGGCCAGCCAGTCAGGCAGTCCATCATTCAGTCAGGATATCTACATCTCCTATGGAAGAGTCCTCAGGGTACAGTGTGGCTCCAGTGGAAACCCAATTTAAAGTGGTTACCAGATGACCAGCCTGGGGCCTCTCTGTCCAAAATACAGAGAACCTTGGGGCTGCGTCTTTAGTTTAACATGACTATCAGCCACTTTGATTTCTCCTGGCAGGAAAAGTAAAAATGAAAATTGCGCATATCCTGCTTTTGACGTAATGAAACATTTCATAAACTGAAAATCTTGGGATCCAATTATAAAGGCCAAATTGCTATTTTACTCACTAAGATAAATAGCTATGGTCTCCTTGATCTTGTCCTTTCTAATTTACCTTATCTCATGGATTCCTCACAATAACTCCATGGAAAGTATTTGTTCTAGTCAGGGATCTGTTGGTTGTGGTAACAGAAGCTCAATTCAGCTCAAGAAAACAGAAGAATAGGGGTTGGGGAGATGACTGTACAGTTATAGCGTAGTCTCACAGAATCTAGGAAAAGCTGACTGAACCATCAGGCTTCAGGACAGACAAAGTTGCCATGGTTCTCTCCTTCCACCACACCTCCCTTGAGTCAAGTGCCTACCTTGGTCTCAGCAGCCTCCATTTGGAGGCAGGATCACATGGTTAAAGCAAGAGGTGTCCAATTATCAGGGCCAAAGTGAAGGTCATATTGCTGAAGAAGAGGGCAGAAGCAAAGGATTACCCCCAAACAATTCAAATACAGCAATATGATATCCATTTGTCCCATTAAAAAAACAGGCACAGAAGAGTCAGGAGGGTTTAGTTATATGGCTAGCAAATGGCTCAGGCCTTTCAAGACCATAGGTGTTGAATTCAGACAGGTTTAACTTTTAATCCTACAGCTCGCTTGCTGTTGGCTCCTGGGCAGGTTATTTAATCTTTTTGCTTCCATTTCCTTGCCATTAAAATGGGCTCATGTCAAAGGTTTGTTTTTAGGATTAATTAAATGAGATAATTTATGTAACCCATCAAATTTAGTGCCTGGAACGTAGTAGCGCGCGCACACACACACACACACACACACACACACACACACAAAATAGCTTTTCTCTCACCTCTGAAACCATGTCCTAAGCTGCATGACCGTTTTACCATTGAATTACACATGGTCTCCTGATGTTCTTCTTCCATGCCTATGTGCTGCCACTCCCAAAGACTGCCAGCTTCCTGGGGACCATGTCTCATTTTTCTTGCATCAGACACTGGGGCTGGCTGAGCACATTGGCAGTCTCTTCAAATTCTTGTGGAATTAAACTGGCTGAATCAGTTTGCATGTCACTTCTTTTCCTAGAAAATCCCCTGAGGACCATGTACCATCTTGGTTTTATTGAGTCTTTCTCAGGCTATCTACTTCTCTGGAACACCAACCTATTTTTCCCTCTTTTCACTTCTCTCTTTCTTTCATGCAGCTCCACCTGGAGGCCAGTGGCTTCAGTTTGTCACAAAGACAAATTTATTACAGCAAAAAAGTGCCCCCTACTCAAGAGCTGTTCAACTCCAGAAGACTCCAAATGAAGAGAAGGGATCCTGAATTCTGCTTCTTGGGTATGTTATCATGGGATTTATTTGTTGTGGTGTGGAGTAGAGGGCGGGCAATCTTTATGCCAATAGATAATTGAGTAGTGTTTAAAGTGGAGAAGTACTTTTATTTTTTTAATTTTATGTATTGATTTTATTTATTTTATTATACTTTAAGTTCTAGGGTACATGTGCACAACGTGCAGGTTTGTTACATATGTATACATGTGCCATGTTGGTGTGCTGCACCCATTAACTTTTACATTAGGTATATCTCCTAATGCTATCCCTCCCCCCTCCCCCCACCCCACGACAGGCCCTGGTGTGTGATGTTCCCCTTCCTGTGTCCATGTGTTCTCATTGTTCAATTCCCACCTATGAGTGAGAACATGTGGTGTTTGGTTTTTTGTCCTTGCGATAGTTTGCTGAGAATGATGGTTTCCAGCTTCATCCATGTCCCTATCAAGGACATGAACTCATCCTTTTTTATGGCTGCATAGTATTCCATGACATATATTTATTGCAGCACTATTCACAATAGCAAAGACTTGGAACCAACCCAAATGTCCATCAATGATAGACTGGATTAAGAAAATGTGACACATACACACCTTGGAGAAGTACTTTTAAAGCAAGTATTCACATTATGAGAATATATCAGGTAGGAAGTTGATAATTGCTTGTCCAAAGATGTCTTCACATTAGTCATCTCACAATCTTCTGTGAGTTATATGCAAAGTCTAGATAACAACACAGTGCTTAAAAATCTCCTAGACAAGGTTCTGACTTTGAAGAAAGATATAGCATAAGGATGCATTAAAGATAGAATTAGGAAGGGGAAGAAAACTCATATATGACAAACATTATCATGTGTCTGCATTGAATTAGGCACTTTTCATGCAGTATTTCATTTTCCTATAGCAATTTTGCAAGATTGGTAATATAATCCTAATTTCAGAGGTGAGAATTATAAAGTTTATTGCCATAGGCTATACAATTAGTAAGGTGATATGCTGGGACCCAGCAAGAGGGTAGCAATAAGAAGATACCAAGTCAATCTTGCTTTCTCATACTGTTCATTTCCCTTTTTCATGCTTTAGGCAACACAACTTGACCACTGTGGACTGAGAGAGAAGAGTGGTCATCAAGGTGATTGGCTGAGTAGAACAGAAAGGAGGAATGGAGTTGTTTAGAAACCAAGCCACTGGATTGGCCATCATTCCAATGGAAAGTTTTGCACCACAGGTTTGCAGCTATTGAAAGACCATTCTGATTATTGCAAAATGATTAGCACATAGGCTTTTGAATCAAATTGAACTGGGCTCTGCCCTTTATTATATGTCCTTGGGCAAGTTACTTAACCTTGCTAAGTCTCCATTTTCTTACGTGTTAAAAAGGAGGATAATATTAGTAATTACCTCATAAAACAATTGTGAAGATTAAATGCAATAGCTTGTATGAAGTGATCCTTGTTTAGCATCCTGGTTCATAATAAGTACTCCAGAAATGTTAGCTGCCATCAATAGCGCATAATTTTAAAGAAATGGGCATTTTTTTATTACTGGAATTGCTGCAAAGATGACAAATAGACATCCTTCCTTAATAAAGGGATGTGATTCGTTTACAAATAGCAGCACACATTTGCATGTAGACAATAGTGTGATAATATTCTTAAATACAGTTTGTTCAGTTTGTTCTTCTAAGAAAATAAAAACACACTGCTTCCCGTTGATCCTGAACATTTCTCCCCCTCTTACTTGTTTACATTGTTAAATTGCTTAGCAACCTCTTTTTTAGGCTTGACTAGAGACATACAATTTCAATCAAGAGCAGGACAAAATACCACAAAACTTAAATAAATATACTACTGCCACATTAAAGATAAAACATAAAAATCACATTTATTTTTAATCACATTTCTTTTATCTTCTCATGACTTTGACTTTCTGCAAATTCAAATGTTTTTCCTTCCCCATATAAGAGGTGAAGTTTGGCTTCAGTAGCTCAGCGTGTGAGTGGAAGGGTGAGGAGCATCTCGGGAAGGGATGGGTCTCTCTGCTCTCAGTTCCAGAATCCCATCTCGTCATTAATCTTGTACTTTTTCTTCCCTTACTTTGGCACTCTGGACTAGCTCAACAATCATAGAGGGGGGAAAAGTGACAGTGATCAACTTTCCCTGTAGAAAAGGATCGAAACATTTCCTTTTTATGTTTTCAAAGGACAGGAACCCAGTCTTGTCTCATTTGCTCTGTTGAGTGGAGTAATTCATGAGCCCACATCACCTAGTCCTGAAATTCCTTCAACTACCAATGTACCCCTGCCAAAAGTAATATTCTCAGCTTTCTAATAACAGCCTTTCTTACCCTCTATATTATCATCCTATTTGCCTCATCTGTAACCTTCCCCAGAGGAGCTCTCATCATTGGCAAATTATTTTAAATCCTGTTTTCAAACCAGGTAGAACAACAACAACAATAATAATAGGCAAATGTTAGATGTAATAATTGGCTCAAAAGACCTAAGTGTGTTTTCCAGTGTTTCTGAGGGTAGGTCACTTCTGAATTCCAGAATTGGAGCAAAAACTTCAGAATTGCTCTCTGTTTCAGGTAGAGCCTTCCACAATATCTTCTCTCTTCCTCTCTTTCTCTGCTCCCTGTCCTCTTGAATAATAGATGGGATCAGAAGACCTCCCTCAAGTTTACCTCAGGTCCAATTTCTAGCTTTATCGTTTTTTTGGATTTGTTTGTTTGTTTTTTGTCTTGAATACATCACTTTACAATTCTGAGCACATGCCAAAGTCCGTTCAAGCTCCAAAATTTCTGCCCCCTTATACATCTGAGAGGGACTTTCATTTCTAGATAAGAAGTAGATGGGCTGGGCCCGGTGGCTGAAGCCTATAATCCCAGCACTTTGGGAGGCTGAGGCGGGCAGATCACGAGGTCAGGAGATGGAGACCATCCTGGCTAACATGGTGAAACCCCATCTCTACTAAAAATACAAAAAAAAATTTTTTTAATTTAAAAAAAAAGAAGTAGATGGTCACAGCAGGCTAACACACACACTGTTGCAATAAGAAAAAAAAAACAGGTAAACTGAAAGCGTCATTAAAGACACTATCTTGTTGGAAGCAACAGGAACTAGATAAACTCAAGTTCCTACATGAGCTTATAATCACCAGCTGTTTGCTTCCCAAGGAGCATTTGTTCATTGCAGGTAAAGGCTGAAGATGAGATTTCGGCCAAAGAGAAGGACTTTACTGGGTAAAAGAAAAATCAGCAGAAGTTTTGGTGAATGAATGGGATTGGCATAATAGATGGGAAAATAGAAGAGTGCAAAATGCAAGGCTCATTTCCATATGTTTTGGAATGGTGGGGAAGTCTTAAAGGGGCAGAACCAGAAAGAGAAAATAAAATCTGCTGTAGTCTGCAGTGCTTGAGAAACAACATCTTGTTAGAAATACGGGTTTACAATAAATGTCCAACAATTTTTCCTCATAAACCATTTGCCAGATTTGAACCTTTGTGGCATGGATATCTAAGATACAGCCTCTAAACCTCTGAAGAGCAAACTATTTAGAACTGTGGAGACAGGTAGCTGCTAGGCTTCTCATCAAAAGCCCAAAATTGACCTCTGCAAAAATCAGGGACAAATAAAAGGTGAGCTGGGATTTGCTAAAAATTGCAACTCAACCTCCTATCCAGCACAATCTCTGCCTGTCTGCCCATCAGAGGATAGGAGGAACCCTTGCTGGTAGACATTTCATCTGAACATTTTGTTTTGTTGTTGTCATTATTTTGTTTTGTTTGGGGTTATTTTTAATACCCAATATCTGTAAGATAACTAAAAATTACTAACATGAAAAGAAAATTGAAGGTATGATTTATAATCAAGAGAAAAAAATCAAACAATAGAAGCAGACTCACAAATATAAAAATTAGCAGAAAATGACTTTAAAATAATAAAGATTATTATGTTAATGGATACAAAGGAACTAGGTATGTATTAAAGGTTAAGAGTTTCAAAGAGAATAAAAATGGCTAAGAAAGCCATATGGTTATTATGGAATTTGGAAAATATAATATCTAAACTTAGGAACTTATTGCATGAATTTAATAGCATGTGGGACATAGCATATTTAACTCAAAGACAAGATCAGTTTTTAAAAATGACCAAACTGAAATACAAATGTGAGAACTAAGATAGAATAGAAAGAATGGAAAAAAACATTACAGACATTGACTACACAGTCAGAAGATCTAATACATGCATAACCGAAGTCCCAGAACGAGAGAAAAGAGGGACTATAGAAGAAATTGTTGCAGAGAAAACAACAGAATTTTCCAAAACAAATCGAGGATATCAACCCACAGATCCAAGAACAGGGAATATCAATAAGAATAAAAACAATGAAAACCCTATTTAGGCACATAATATTCAAAGTGCTAAAAATTAAAGACAAAGAAAAAATATGAGACAAATCAAAGCAGAGGTGGAGGAAGGGGGACACATTACTTTCAAAGTAACAACAAAATTGATGGATGATTTTTCAGTAGAAACTATGGAAGCCAGAAGACAATGTCTTAACATCTTTAAAGAGATAAAAGAAAAATATTGCCAACTTAGAATTTTATACCAAGTAAAAATATACTCAAAAGTTAAGTCAAAATAAATATATTTTCAGACAAATAAACCTTGAGCAAGTTTAAACTTTTTTCCACTTTTGTGTTTCAGTTCAGGCATTTTTAAAAAATGATCTCGTCTTTGAGTTAATAAGTTGTGTCCCACATGCTCTTAAACTCATCCAATGAGCTCCCAAGTTTAGAGTATCTAGAGAATGGCACTATAAGTTTTACTCAAGGAAATGTTTCAGGCTGAAGGAAAATAATCCCAGGTGGATATATTAAACTTTAGGAAAGAACAAAGGGCACAGTAAAGGAAAAGTCTGTGTGTAAATATTAAAAGGATACTGACTTTTTAAAACAAAAATAAGGAAAGAGTTGGAGGAACATAACAATGTGGAAATAAAACTAACAATATCACAAACAAACTGGAGGGCCTTAATGAGGTTAAACTGTGGTAAGCTTTTTGCATTGTTTGTGAAGCGTAAAATATGAATTTAAAATATATATATTGAGAAGCTAGGAAGGCATATTAATTTCCCACATAAGAGCTAATAATGTCAGGAATATAAAACTAATAGAGGAGATAAGTGGAATGAATACAATATACTTAATTCAAAACCAAGTAGAGAAGGAGGAATAAAGGAACGAAGAACAGATACGATAAATAGAAAAAAAATAGCAGGTAGGTAGAATTAAAGCAACTATTTCAGTCATTATATACGTAAGTACACTAAGCACTCCAAAAAGAAAGATATAGTAGATATTTTAAAAACAGAAGACTCAATTAAAGGTTCTTTATAAGAAATATATTTTGAAGTTTAACATTCTTATCTGAGAAGCAATAAGCCATAGCTTTGGCGATGAAGCACTCTGGGTTTGAATTTTAACTTCTAATTATTAACTGTTCAAACTTTAGTTAGTTACATAACTTCTCTGAGTTTTAGTTTCCTCATCTATAATGAAAGAACAATAATATGTATCTAATAGGGTTGATGTCAGAATGAAATAAAATTAATGAGAAAATCTAGGGCAGTGACTGGTAGACCCTCAATAAATGATAGATATTATTTTCACTCTCAGCACCAACACCTCCTCATCCCAGTCTCTCTTAGGGAGGCACTCTTACATTTTGATTAATAACCAGGGTGATAGAATTACATTACTTGACTTTTAATTCCATCTCTATCAGTTACTAGCCATGCAACCTTGAGTAAGTTGTTAAAACTCCCTACACCTTGGTTTTCTCACCTGTAAAATGAGTACTTCTCAGAATTATGAAAGTAAAATGAGGTCCTCTGTTAAGACACTTAGTACATTTCCTGGAACATAATGAGTACCCTCTACATGGTAGCCAGAGTACCTATTAAAACATAAGTCAGGGCCAGCCGCAGTGGCTCACTCTTGTAATCCCAGCACTTTGGGAGGCTGAAGTGGGCAGATCACCTGAGGTCAGGAGTTTGAGACCAGCCTGGCCAACATGGTAAAACCCCCTCTCTACTAAAAATGCAAAAATTAGCTGGGCATGGTGGTGGGCACCTGTAATCCCGGCTACTCAGGAGGCTGAGGCAGGAGAATTGCTTGAACCTGGGAGGCGGAGGTTGCAGTGAGCTGAGATCATACCATTGCACTCTAGCCTGGGCAACAAGAGTGAAACTCTGTCTCAAAAATAAATAAATAAATAAGATCCTGTCAATTATTTGTTCAAAAGTTTCTATTGTTCCATTTTACTAAAGTTTCTAAAGTTCCATTGTACTTACAGGAAAAGTGAAAATCTTTACACATACCTACAAGATACTTCAAGATCTATTGCCTCTTTGAACTCATGTCCTAGTTACCTCTCTTTACTCATGTAACTAGTCACCCCCTTGCTTATTCCAGTTACTTTAGACATACTGGCCTCCTTGCACTTCCTTCAGATTCATGGCAAGTCAGTCATGCTGTAATCTCAGGGTCATTGCCCTTGAAGCTTTCATTAAGGTTCTTCCCTCTGTGACCACCCACACCTGCCCCTCAGATCAACATAGCTTGCTGCTTTAGCACTGTTGGGTCTTGCTCAAATGTATTATTCAGTGAGGGCATACAGGACTTTCCTAAATAAAATGGTATCTCACTGCCCCACCAACTCCACTTCCCTATCTTACTTCCTCAGTTTATTTTTCTGCTTAGGGGAAATCAACAGTTAACATTCTTTTCCATGAAAATTATGTGTGAGTTTACTGTGTGCCGTCCTCCATAACAGTGTAAAGCCATAAGGGCAGGAATTTTTGTCTCTGATCACTGTTAAAACTCCTAGCACTTTGACGACTACCTGGTAGATAGTAGGTACTCAAGAAGTATTTATTAAATGAAAGAATTTTAAAGGTAGTCACCATTATTATTTATTTCTTTGGTCATTTCTTCTTTCTTTAGTAACCATTGGAGACATTGGGCCATAACTGAATTCAAAACATAGCTAAGCCTAGTCGTCACTTCCTCAAGGACTTCTCCCCTGAATTCTCTGACTATGTCCATTCCTCCTGTTTTACCCACTCACAGCATTGATCTCTGTTTTGTGATTCTTTGGTTTAAGTCTTTCTTTTCCACAAGACCCGTATCAGTAGAGACCTCATTTATTTTTGCTTGCCGCTCTGTTCCCAAATTTTGTACAGTGTGCTTGGCACATAAAATGAATGCAACAATGAATGAATGATCAAAATGCGCTCGCATTCTTTTTTTTTGCCTATAATAAAACTAATTTTGCACATTGTTTGTCCCCGCTGGCTGTGCTATGTTTAGTGTTTGTTTGTGGATGATAAGCTTTCCTCATTGACACTGCACTATATGACTTAAGCTAAGCTGTGTGCTAGTAGGTATTCACAACTGTTTCTCTTTGGTTTGTATTCAGAATAAAAGTTAGAAGAGCAATAGGTTGCTAGTTAGCAAAAATCCATTTACTATTGCTCATGTTTGTGAACATGTCCAATTAATATTATGCATTAAAATTTCACAATAAGGATGACCCTGGAGATCAGACTAGTAAGAAAAAGAACAAAGTGAAGATAGAAGAATTCTTCTTTCTAGGAATAGGAAGATTATGGCAACTGTAGCATGGCCAAGAGAAAGGAATGGCTGTGTATTGGAAGGCTGTCATACCAGATTCCATTCAAAGTACTTTGCATTTATGATCCCATTTGAACTAAGCCACAATGGCAAATGTGGAAATGTGTGTGTGTGTTTTTATGTGTGCATATTTGTGGGTGTTTGAAAGTAGTAAGCTCTATCCCTGTCTCTGCTTTATATTAGCTATGTAAGCTTGAGCAGGTCAATTAATGCCCCTGAGCTTCTGCTTATACATACCAGCTTGGAGATCAAATAAAATAATGGATATGAACAGTCTTTGAAAATATCGAGAACAAGTGTATGTGTGTCCATGTGTATGTGTATGCGATGTTACAGGGGTCAAAGCAACAACCTGTTCCTCTGGATACATAATAATTTTGCATGTCCCCAGGTGAAAGGTTAGACTTGGTGTAAAGTCATACTATATCATCTTATTACCCATTTACTCATTGCAACTCAGTCCAGAAAATGTATTAAACATCTGTAATGTGCCAGACTCCATAAGGACATGGAGAATAAAATGAACTAAATATGATCCTGCCTCGTAGAGTTCACACTAGAGAGGAGGAAGCATATGGGCATAAAAATAACTATAAAACTCATGGCAGAGTATGCAGAATGCTATTAGTGGCATTTTACAAACAAGACACTAGGAAATCACACTCAATAATTTATTTAATCAATACTTACTGATTTCCAACTATGGACCAGGCACTATTCTAGAACCCAGAGAGATCACGGTGTACAAGAAAGACAAGGAGCCTGTTTTCATGGGGCTTACATTCTAGTGTGTGGAGACAGAGAACACCCTGGTAATGCCATGGATATATAAAATAATGTCAATTAATTACTGTGTTGAAATGGAATAGGGTAATGTGATAATGAGTACAGTTGAGGGTTGGGACAGAAGGTGGTCAGCTCTGATACCTGAGCTGAGGCTGGAATAAGAATGAAGTAGATTTGCGAAGAATTTATGAAGGAGATCTTCCACACTGAATGAATAGCAAGAGCTGGGATTAGGAGACAGAAATAAGCTTGTGGGGCTTTGGATCTGAAAGAAGGGATATGTAAAAGCATGCTGTGACAAGTGAAAAAGTGATATGAGATGAGGAGCGATGAGCGAGGGTGGATGGGGCAGATGGCACATTACATTTTGGCTATGGTGAAGAACTTGGGGTCTAATCAAGGTGCCATGGGAAGGCACTGAAGGTTCTAAAAAGAGAAGAGATAGGATTTGATTTCCATTTTAAAAGAGCAATCTTTTAAAATGCTATGTGGCAAGTGAGGACTGCAGTGGGGAGAAAATGAATTCAGGAAAACCAGACAAGAGGCTATTTTTGCAATCCAGGTGAATGATGATGAAGGGTGACCAGTAACTAAACTAGGAGCAGTCTAGGTGGTGAGAAAGACAGATGCAGGATATATTTTGGAGGTAAGCCAACAAGAGTTGGAAGAAGAGGAGAAAGGTTGTTTCTAAATGAAGAATGCTTCCATTTCTATCTTTAGTTCAAAAGCCTTTTATGTCAAACAATATAGCAGCTAATAAATTGATTCTATAAATATATCTAATGTACATTTAAGCTAATATTAAATTTCTTTGGGTCTTCAGAGTTTTTACTGTAAAAAATAGCACAAAATAAAAATGCTTAATAAAGAAAGTTGTAAAATACAGAAAAGCATAATTTTTAGATAAAAATATATATTATAAAATATGCTACATACATATCTAAGATGAGAATGCCTATTTTTTCCCTTAAAAATGTGATTCGATCTCGTATTTGGGGGCGGGAGGGGCATGCTGCTGTGCTGTATCAGGTTTTGCCTCTTTTTCTGCAGCGTCTTTCAAAAACTGAAAACAATTTAGCCACGTTATCCCAAATGCTAGGTGTGGACATTTATTTCCTCATATATGGGCGGTGACTTCCACCATTGGGGCAAACGGACCTGGAAATGCCGAGATGTCCCAGGAAGTCTGGAGCTGATGGAGCCCGTGTCCATCTCACCAAGACCTTAAATATAATGCAGAGTCCCTGCTGCAAATCCATTCCCATCCGTGCTTTGAGACGGAAGGAGGGAAATTGCAGCTATTTACAGCAACCACCATCTGAGCAAGGACTGATTCATGCAGTACCTCGGGGAAGCTAGGTTGGAAACCCTTGTCAACATGCAGTCAAGTCTATGGTTAGAACTGGCCAGTGTGCGCCCTGCATCTGCGGGAGGGTCCGGGGGCCATTTGGAATTTGGTTTTTTTTTTGTTTGTCTGTTGTTTGTTTATTTGTTTTTTAGCCCTCTCTCTAAGGGCTAAGGATTCCATCGAGGTAAGGAATGGGCGGGAGTGAGTCCTAAGCGGGCGCTCCCGGAAGAGCGGCTGCGAGCAGCGGGGCCGCAGTTCGGCGGTATGGATCCTACCCCTGCCCGCCCCGAGCCGACCCGGGCTTGATGAAGTCCCGGGCAGCCCGCGAGGCTGCAGTGTGTCACGCACCAGCTCCCGGCGGCGTCCTCTTCCCCGCCGCGCGCAGTAATGGATCTCTGCGTCCTAAAAGAGGAAGATAATGCCGGTGTTAGCTTATAAATAGATGGTTGCATGCTCTCCCTGCGAAGCATTGATTGAGGCCGCTAAGCTGACTATTGATCTAATTTTAACTTACATGTTCGCACGCACCCTCCCCGCCTCCCTGTCGCGGCTTGGTGGAGCGCGGGGCACGCTGTCTCTCGCGGCCGCCAGAGGGCGGGCCACTGGTCCTCCCGCCACCCTGCCCGTCTGGCCTCTCTGTTTACGCAGACGTACAATGCTGGCCTTTATTGGGTTTGAAAAATAGGAGTTTGATTTTCCTGCACCGGGATGACCTCATCACTCATGAAAGTCGGAGGAAAGCGGGGAATCGGATGACAGGCAGCCGGGAAAATAAAGCTTGCATTTCACCTCCTCCCACTCCACCACCTACACAGAGTACTCGGGATGTGCTTCTCATTTTAAAACCACCTTGCCGAAGCCGGGAAGTGGGAGACGGCGGTAGGAGTGGAATGTTAAATTCTTCTTGGTACTCTGGCACTCGGTGTGCAGCGGCTTCTGTTTAGAAGGTTAATGTCACCTACTCTCTGCCTACAGAGCCTCTTGTAAGGGCGCTCTCCTGAACTGTCACTAAATGGCAATGCAACAACATTATCTAGGAGTGACTTGACTAACATATTACTAATTATTTCTAGACATAATTCATCTTGCCAAAGTTTAAGCAATGGTCATCAGCAATTTTATACTGCTGGCTTGTAAATTTCAAATCTGCTTATGACTTCAAATTATTAAGGTAGGGAATTACAGTCTATCATAGTTTTGCTTGCCGCCTTTTGGGACCACAGCACATCAGGATGGGGGTATAGGGTAAAGTAAATGAGAGGGAAAGGGAGACAGAAGACAAAGAAAGATGCCTTCCCTGAAATTCTCCAGCCCTAGAACTCAGCACGTGAACAAACTTTCCTCTGGGATTCAGTGAAACATATTAATAGGAGTCAATGTTTATCAGGCACTTGCTATGTCCCAGGCATTGTACTAACCGTTTTATATTTGTTACTTCATTAAATCCTCAAGACAACCTATTGGTTAGATTATATTATTATCCATATTTTAGAGTTGAAAAAAACTGAGGCAAGTTAGTTGCACAAAGTCGATTAGCTAGAAAGGGACAAAACCAAGATTCAAACCTCAGTAGAGACTGACCCAGAGCCTTGCTCCACATCACCATGTCGAGTGTCTTGACGACATACCTCCCTTGGCAAAGTCTTAAACTCTCTGCATCTCTAAGCAAAGGAGGGTGCGTGTGAAGAGAGATGGCCACTTTCAAATAAGGCCTATCTAGGCTGAAATGGAAAAGCTCTTCATAGGGAGAGCTCTTGCAAAAGTGAAAAACGTACAAAGAAATGATCATCCTCAGTGTTGCTCCTGATAATAGCTTATAGGATGGAAATAAACCAGAAGAAGGAAACTTCCATTAAGGGGACCTCACCTGGCTATTCATTCCACAAACATTTGCATACAGTGGACTGGCCATTGTGGTTGGCACTGAATTATGGTAATGAAGAAGACAGAAGTGCTCTATCCCCTCATGGAACCTCGTGAGAGAAAGGGGTTATAACTAAGTGAACAATCAAACACATAATTGTAATTTGTGATGATTACAAAGGGGCCTGGTATACTTCGGAGGAGGGAGTCAAGAAAGCCTGTCCGAGGAAATGCCATTTACACAGACAGATACAGCATGAGTAAGGGTTAGCCGGGTCCAGGATGGGCCTGGGCATAATATGGAGAGATATGAGGAAGCCTTGAGGAGGAAATGGTGTTGGGGAATGAGTGGGAGAGGAAGCTGGAGAGCTCACGTGGGATCTGATAAACCAGAGTAAAGATTGGTGACATCATGTTAAATGCAATGGGAATACCCCCTTAAGAGATTCAAGAATGAGAATAAAGCGATCCAAATTGTATTTTAGAAAGATTGCTTTGTTTGCAGTGGGGAGAATGGATAGGAGGTAGGATGAGGGAGTGAGTGTGGAGAGACTTCAGGAAGTTTGTGCACTAGCTCAGTGAGGATTGATAAAGGTTTGGACAAGGCCTGCCATAGTGGAAATTGAGAGAAGTGGATAAGCTATTTGCAGTTTGGTGATGGATTGGACAGGATGACTGATGGACAGAGCAAGGTCAAGGATCTCTCCCAGTTTCTGGCTTGAGGCACTGGATTGAATGAGGCATCATTTACTAATCCAGATGACATGAAAAGAGGAGCAAGTTGGGGAACCCTTGGTTTGGGCCTTTCCTATTTGAAGAGTGAAGGCTGCTGACCATCCAGTCAGAAAAGAGACTTCAAAAGTAAGGTTTGAGTGAGTTGCTGATATGGACAGAAGACAGGGAAATACTGGGTAGAAGAGGGCGATTCCCCAGCAAAGGCCCCACCCTCAAGCCTGGATACCCACGGCCCTAAATGAGGACAGGCATTCTTGTTTTTGCTCCCAAAAAGTTGCCCTTTGGCCCACCATACCCCCTAACCTGTACCCATATAAACCCCAAACCCCAGGCTCCAGAGGCAGACTAGGAGATGAGGAGACACACAGATGAATGGCGGAAAGGTGAGGCAGAGAAAGAGAGAAGAGAAGGAGCATCTGAAGGCTGAGAGGAGTTTGGCTGGGGACAGTCAGAGAGGAGTTTGGCAACTGGATGGCCAAAATCCAGGGTAAGATCATCTTCCCATTCCCTTGCCACTTTCAGCTCCCCATCCATCCTGCTGAGAGCCACCTCTACCACTCAATAAAACCCCTGCATTCATCCTTCAAGTCTGTGTGTGACCCAATTCTTTTGGGATGCCTGGGTACCAAGGGGCCAATGAGCTGGTTAACACTTAAGCCATCTGTGGATGGCAGAGCTAAAACAGCATTGTAACACTAGGGTTGCAGGCACCCACCCCTAGACGCTGCTGTGGGGCCAGAGCCCAAAAGTGCTCGCCCCAATTCCTGCACCTGCCTGTCTGCATACTCCCCCTCCCGTAAGGGGTTTGAGCTCATGGAGGTCGAACAGAGAGCTGCACCCCTTGTCACACACCCTGCAAGGGGGGGCCAGAGAACTCTCCCACCTCATTATCATTTCTTTATTGAAGTGACCTATTTGTCATTGTTCTTACCATTGCCACCACTGTCAAAAAGCTCAGCTTTAGTATTGCTATGTGTGAAGTGGAAGAAGAAAACAAGAAAGCTATGGTATATGTATTTGCTTTTTGATATGTTTTGGATCTATGTCCTTACCCAAATCTCATGTTCAGTTGTAATCCCCAATATTGGAAATGGGGCCTGGTAGGAGGCGATGGGATCATGGGGACAGAGTTCTCATGAATGGTTTAGCACAAGCGCCCCAGCGCTGTTCTCCTGATCCTGAGCGAGTGAGTTATTGTGAGATCTGGTTGTTTGAAAATGTGTAGCATCTCCTCCCGACACTTGGTCCTGCTCCTAACCATGTAAGATGCCCGCTCCGGCTTTGCTGTCTACCATGAGTAAAAGCTTCCTGAGGCCTCCCCAGAAGCAGATGCAGCACCATGCTTCCTGTAGAGCCTGTGGAACCATGAGCCAATTAAATCTCTTTTCTTTATAAATTACCCGGTTTCAGGTATTTCTCTATAGTAGTGCAAGAAAGGACTAATATACTTTTGTTACAAAACCTGGAGTCTGTGGCGGCCAAACTGAAAAAAACAACAAGCAGCAACTCTTTACCTGTATGTCACTTGCAGGACTGGTAAGCAGCATTGTGGTTTATAGCCCTACATATGAGGAGAATCACAGAAAGTTAGAACTGGAAAGGATCTCATTACACTCATTAGGAAACCAAAGACACAGAGATGAAGTGATTTGTCCAGGGTCACACAGCAAGTATGTAAGTGAACAAAAGCGGGGGTCAGCGAATAGGTCTCTGGTTCTTTCTTATGCCACCCTGCCTCTCAAGGGTTAAGACTTTCTCTGTTAGACACATATGCCTTATTCATAAGGACAGGATGCCAGGCTATTATTAAACCTGGGAATACACTTTCATTCAACCTCTGAGAAATGCAAGTGTCTAGACAATACATTCTCCTCACCATTCTGCAATTTTCCAGGACAAGAACCCCAACTTCCCTTAGCATAGCTTGGCATTTGGCTAGGCCCGAAGTCATCCAGCTTCTGGCAACAGATCATTCTCCAGGCAGTGGGTATGGACAGATCATTTTCTTCCTCAGGTCCAGTAGGATGTGCTCTTGCCTGTGGGAGCCTGCCAATAATGAAGGAAGAGTTGATCACCTGCTATGCATCAGACCCTTTACCTACTGAGCTCTCCTAAGTTATCATAAAGACTGGTTGCTCCTTTCCTTCTTGCTCATTCCTTTTCTCGCCTTCCATTCTTTGAAAATTTTAGAATTGGAGTGGAACTAGAAATCATTATTCTGTACTAAAGAAGCATCTCTGCTTTAGAGTCATAGAAATGTCTGTTTCTTCTTCCTGATATGTGTAGAAACATGAGATCAAATCAGTTGTCCCAGGACTTTGACTTATTAAGAGTGGCAACATAATTAAATTTTGCCACTACCAAGGTAAATCAAGAAAGATGAAAATGGTTTAAGTCTATTTATCCATCACACCGTTTTGAAATAAGGTTTTCTACAGCTATGATTTGTGGAGGTTATGGATCTTAGATGTTAGATACGAACAGTCCTATATCCCCAAATTCATTAATTTATTTTTGTCTCTTCAAGTAGTAAATACTACTGTTCATTCATTCATGATTATTCTGAAATATTTCATTTCTAGAATTATCACCCTCTCTTTCTTCTATTACAAGGACAGTAATATTTAATGGCAGTAGTTTTGGAAAGAAGGATACATTCTGTGCTATGATTTACAGAAAAGCATCTGATGGCATTTCTCAGCAGAGATTGGCATTTATGTAACAGAAAACAGTCAAAACAGTTTTTAAATTAAAAAACTACGTAAAAACAATGGCACAGAGAGATAGTTAGGAGTCATTCCTGCAGTGTAGAATTCAAGCACTGGGGACTGTCAATAATTTAATCAAATTACTTAAGTGCAAAAAGTTGCCTCATCATTCAGTCATAGTTCTTTTCAAGAATTCTTCCCACCTTGTCCATGGGAGATTTAATATTTTTATTTATATTTTTCTGCATTTTAAAGTTTTCTATAATGCAAATATGTTACCTTTTTCAAGAGGAAAAAAAGCAGAAACATTTTTTGAAATGTATCCTGCATTGGAAAGACCACCTCAAAATTTAGAGGATTATTGAGTAAAAGGTAGATGCTCCTTTGATATTAATCCCCAAAAAAAGTCATTGGGGGCAAGATGCCTGCAAAAGCAGGGAGGGTCTGCCATATAAATCAAGCTTGTCCAACCTGCAGCCCAAGGGCCACATGTGGCCCAGGATGGCTTTGAATAGGGCCCAACACAAATTCGTAAACTTTCTTAAAACATTATGAGATTTTTTCGCGATTTTTAAAAAAGTTCATCAGCTATTGTTAGTGTTAGTGTATTTTATGTGTGGCATAAGACAATTCTTCTTCTTCCAATGTGGCTCGAGGAAGCCAAAAGATTGGACATCCCTGAAAACCATAGGAAGAGTTTAAGAGTTGGAAATACTATTGATGAGGCTGCCCTTAAATGGGAAAAACATGTTTATTCTTTGATATTGGAGAATAACAGTGATTTACCATTCACATACCAAGATACACCAAAATGACACTGCTTTGAGTTATTTCTCCAGAAGAGGCTAGGCTGGTGCTGGCCCAGAACATAGACGTTAAATTGGAAGATGTCTATTTGGGATTAGGTGTCCAGTTTCTAACTATAAAATACAATCAGTTAATGATCCTAATTAGGTTTATAGTCCTTAACCTTGACCTCATTAGCAGACAGTGGTCCTAACTGCTCACTCGCATGCAAGAACATTCTTAACATAAGGTGCAAAGATTAATGAAGAAAAAGGACAATTTAACACTGTAAGAGACCTTTCCCGATCAGCCAATGGGCAAGGGATGGCAATTTCTTTCTGGAGATTGTAAGCAGATGAATTTTTAAGAACAACTCTCTAAATAAGCAAACAGAAGCATTTTTTTTCTGCTTTTCATGCTGCTTATCTGGCCTTGGCAAGCTGTTCATTGAAGGGAAAACATTTCTTTAACAACAAAGATTTTAGGAGGTTCCATTCTTTTCATGGCCATCTTGATACCCTTTGACATGCTGAAACATAAACACAGAAACATGGTGCTTTCATCATCTCTCCCTACTGGGCACACATAGCTTTTTTGTTTGTTTGTTTTGTTTTGTTGTTGTTGTTGGTGGTGGTAGGAAACTAAATCTGTCTTCCTGATGCTAATCAAGGAAAGAAGACTGGGAATGAAAATGTCTAATTTTTGTTTTCAGTTGCGTTGAGGCAGAAACACCTTTTCCTACTCTTCAGTTGTTTTAATTGTTTCCTCTCCTTTTATTCCTTCCATTTGGAGTTGTGGTTCCCCATGCTTTTCCTGCAGAGATCCACATATATGCATGTGCCACCCACTCCCCGGGTGCAGAGGCAGGATGGGCTGCAGGCTGGTAACACTCCTCCACAACCTTGCAAAGGCTTCACCCACTTCTCTCCTACTCTGAGAGCACATGGAAATGTGTGGGAGTGAGGTGACCTTAGGCAAGGATAATCTCACATCCACTCCAATTTACATGAAAAATGCTCCATTTGCAAACTTCAGAACTTAATTACTTATAACAAATTACTTGTGGAAAACTCTACAACTGACTGGGGCAGTATGTGACAGTGCTGTACTTGGGAATTAGAACTGTAATATAGTCCCATTTTCACGACAGAGTGTGGGACAGGGTCTATAGAATTTTGCCACAGGGGGCCCCAAGACCATCCAACCACAGGATTTCATATTCAGAGCAGAAGTGTCTTTGTCCGTGGTGAGTCGGTGTTTAGTCTGTATAACAGAAAGACCTTAATTCTTTAAGACCTGATGCAAATTAAAGAATCACCATGTACAGAAATACTGAAACAATCCAGATAAGAATGATTCATATTAATATTGAAAAGCTACATTGATCAAGGCACTTACCCTTTTGGTTACTCAGTTTCCTCTTCTTTAAAATGACTAGGATAATAGTACTTACATCATAGGACTGTTAATACCTGTAAAGTACTGTGAATGCTACTTGCCATACAGTAAGTTCTCCTTAAAGGTTAACTCCATTATTATTACTCTCATTACACCAACACGGCCATTTTTGTGGCTAAACTGAGGATAAAAAACACTGCTAGTGTTGCTAATTTTAAGTTCTACACTCACCCTAAGTATAACATAATAATGAAAGAAAGATGGATATATGAGCATCCTTCAGCCAGTTCAATTTATTGTTGAGTCAGAATGAGATACAGATAAATAGAAAATTAGCCTTTAAAATTATTTCTAGTGGAATTGTAAATCAACACAAACCTTCTACAGGGTGTTAAGAGCCTTAAAATACAAATACCCCATGCACCAGCAATTCCTTAACTGTGAATTTATCTAATGGGCACAATCAGAGATGTGTGAAAAGATACATGTGTAAGATTCTACATCAAACTTATTTATAATACTGAAAAATTGGAACAGCCTTAGTGTTTAACAATAAGCTACCATTTAAATAAAACACATACATTCATGTGGTAGATGCTGCACAGACATTAAAAACCATGTTGTAGAAGACTATATATTGACATGGACAAATGTTCACGATATATAACCCAGTGAAAATAGCAGGTTGCAAAAGAGTGTATCATAACAATCCTATTTGAATGTAAGTGTAACAGTTGGACTGAAGTAGATCCATGCAAATTTTTTTTTAATGAAGCTTGCTATATTCTCAAAACTTCTTTGAACCTTAAAATCTACCCAGAGCATATGTCTTATTTTTTGTCCTATTTTTGTTTAAATCTTAGTCTAGTCCACTGATTTTTGTAATCTATTCTTGTTAAAGTCTTAGGCTTTCTCTGTTGACAATTCTGTCAAAATTCAATATCATTAGCTGTCCTTACTCATAGGTACAAGCTTTTTCTCCCTGAACTAATACTGTCTATCCCAGCTTCACCGACTCCAACCCCAGCGGGGAGGAGAAAGAACTCCTCTTCTTGTGGCTGGGAGCAGCAGCCTCAGTAGTAGGAGGTGCCTGTGTCCTGATCTGGTGGCACTTTGTTCCGTGGCATCTGCTATCTTGCTGTAGCTGTATGCATGGTTTCCTGAGGCCATGTTCAGCTTCATGCCAGCTCCCTCATGGGATGCTTTTGCCCTAGAGGGGCAGCTGCGTGTCCCTTCGGCCCCCACTCAGGTTGCTGTACACCTGTGATCTCTCTACAAAGCTCTGTGCTTCCAGCAGACATCGGGGTCCTCTTCTGTGCCTGAAAGTCACAGAGAACAGGGGAAGGCATGTCCACTTCCTCCTTCCTCCTTCCTCTTCCAGGCACACTAAAGGATCTCTTCAAGCCCCACTGGCATACATTATGCCATCAAGCCTTCTACCTTCTGAAATTGCATGGAGCAGGAACCTTCACTGTCAAAGAGATGCATGTCAAACAGCTCCCTTACTTTCTGGGGTGGTGGTGGGAGGAGTGGGATGGCATGGGATGGTGGAAGGACCATGGAGCAGAGAAGGACAATTTGTCATCCCTGAGGGATCCCAGAGAGCCACCCTCAGAATCCCTTCAAATACTCCCTCTATTTTTTTAAACAAATCAACTATATTAAATTGTATTACATAAGATGAAATGCACCATTATAAATGTACAGTTTGATGAGCATTAACAAATGCATACGCTTATGTAAGCACCACAATCAAGATATGGAACATTTTTATCCGTCCACAAAGTCCCCTCTTACCCTTGTCAAGTCAATACTGGCTCTCCTATCCTATGCACCACTGATCTTCTTTCTGTCCCTTGAAATATAGTGCACACTTGCTAGCATTGCATGTAAGTAGCATAACACAGCATGTACATTCTTGCATGTGGCTAAGCATGATGTTGCTGAGATTTTATCATGATGTTGCTGTAGTTTGTTACATTTCATTGTCAAGTTGGGTCCCATTATATGGATATGTGACAGTTTGTTTATCCATTCACTGATTGATGGATATTTGGGTTGTTTTTCTGAGGGGGGGCTATAAACATCTATGTACAAGTCTTTATTTATGTGGATTTGTGCTTTAATTTCTATTGGGTAAATACCTAAGATTAGAGTGACTGGGTCATATGACAGTGTATATATAACTTTATGAAACTGCCAAACTGTTTTCCAAAGTAGTTAGTTGTACTATTTTTTATCCCTATTGGAGGTGTATAAAAATTCCTGTTCCTCCACATCCTTGCCAACACTTGTTTTTGTCAGTCTTTATAATTTTAGTCTAGTGGGTTTATAGTAAATCTCATTATGGTTTTAATTTCATTCCCCTGATGATTAATTACGTCGAGCATCCTTAAAGTGCTTCTTAGCCACTTGTATGTGTTTGTTGGTGGGGCGTCTGTTCAAACCTGTTGTTCATTTTTTTTAAAATAAACTTTTTATTTTAGAAGAGTTTTTGATTTACAGAAAAGTTGCAAAGATTGTGCAAAGAGTTCCCATATGCCACACACCCAGTTTCTTCTACTGTTAACATCTTACATTAGTATGGTACATTTGTCACAATGAACAAGCCAATACTGATATATTATTATTAAAGTTCATAGTATATTCTGTGTCTTCCTTTCCTTTCTTACCTAGTGTCATTCCCTACCTCTCCCAGGATCCCATCCAGGACAGTACATTAAAAATGGTTGCTATATCTTTTTAGGCTCCTTTAGACATCTGTTTCTCAGACTTTCTTTGCTTTTGATGACTTTGACACTTTTGAGAAATACAGGCTAGGCATTTTATAGAAGGTCCCTCAATTGGAGTCTGTGATAGCTTTCATGTGACTCTACTAGGGTTGTGGGTTTTGTGGAAGAAGACCACAGAAGTAAAGTGCCATTCTCCTCCCATCATATCAAGGGTATGTACTGTTGGGAACAGGTCCCCCAAAATCTGGCCATAAACTGGCCCCAAAACTGGCCATAAACAAAATCTCTGCAGCACTGTGACATGTTCGTGATGGCCATAACACCCACGCTGGAGGGTTGTAGGTTTACCGGAATGAGGGCAAGGAACACTTGGCCCGTCCAGGGCGGAAAACCATTTAAAGGCGTTCTTAAACCACAAAAAATAGCATGAGCAATCCGTGCCTTAAGGGCATGTTCCTGCTGCAGATAGCTAGCCAGACCCACCCCTTTTATTTCAGCCCATCCCTTCGTTTCCCATAAGGGATACTTTAAATCTAACATCTATAGAAACAATGCTAATGACTGGCTTGCTGTTAATAAATACGTGGGTAAATTTCTCTGTTCAAGGCTCTCAGCTCTGAAGGCTGTGAGACTCCTGATTTCTCACTTTACACTTCTGTATTTCTGTGTGTGTGTCTTTAATTCCTCTAGCGCCACTGGGTTAGGGTCTCCCCGACCGAGCTGGTCTCGGCAATGTGCTATCAGCATGACTTATCACTACTGATGCTAACCTTGATTACACAGCGAAGGTTGTGTTTGTCAGCCTTCTCCATTCTAAAGTTACTCTTGTGTTTTCCTTTCCCATACCATACTCTTTGGAAGGAAGTCGCTATGCAGTGCCCACACTTACATGATGGGGAGTAATACTCCACCTTCTCAAAATGGAATGTATGAATAAATTATTTGTAATACTTCTGTATTGTAGGTTGGTCTATTTAACCAGATTTTTAAAATCCAATGATTTTTTATATCCTATGGAGAGTATGCATTCAGTATTTATTTTCCACTTTGGATGGATTATAAATCAATATTTCATTATTGATTTTGTTGCTCACATTGTTTCAGCTTTGGCCATTGGGAGATTCTTTACTTAGTTCCTGTATCCATCTGATATATCCCCATCATTGTGTTTTCTCGAGCCCTTCCTCACATTCTGAAACTACAAGATAAGCCAGGCTCATCTAGTATAGCCCTTGCCCCAGCCCTGAGACCAGCCATTTGTCTCAGGAGCCACAGTTCTTTTATTGGAGAATGTTAAAAGAAACATAGAAATAGGTTCTGAGTGTGATTATTTTTACTAAGGTATCTGTTGTCTATTTGTAAATTGGATTGTTTATCTTTTCATGGTGGAATTATAAGGAGTGTTTTGGGTTTTGTTTTGTTTTTGATTCTAGATACATATTCTATATCTGATATGTGTGTTGCAAATATTTTCTCCCAGCCCGTGGCTAGTGGAGGGAGGAGGGTGGGTGGAAGGGAGTGCGAGTATAAAGAATTGTTTTGGTTACTTGGATGAGGCTAATCAGGACATCATTGAAATATTTTTAAAATGTTCTTTACATGGAATTCCCGGTGCTCAGACTACAATTGTGGGTGTCGTTTTGCCTCAAGGTCCACTAGTCTCAAAGGAGGAAAGTGTCCCCAGGGTTTGTTCCTTCTCCTCGGATGACCAACAGTGTGGAACGAATGGCTGTGAGACACTTGAAGAAATGTTGAATTCAAAAGTGAGTCCACAAAAGACTTAAGCTTCAATAATGGCTTCAATAAAATCTGAGCTGAAGTGAGCATGATTATTTTATATGACATTGAAAAAACTCAATGTCAAATATGGCTGCTGTTTTTAGGCTTAAAACAGAAAAGAAGCTCATGTGTGGAGATAGATGTGTAGCCACTCACAGTCTAGAGCAAGAGGAATGTTGACACTAAAGTTCTGGCAGTTTTAAATTGTTTCTGATGATGGAGATTTCAGTGGCATTTTCTCAAAATATAACAGTAGGCTAAAATATTCATTTCCACACCAACTGAATGACTACTATGTGTAGGCAAAGCATTATGAAGGAAGAAAGATCAAAAAGTACTTCTCTTTTCTCCATAAGCTTATGGTTTGGTGCAATGATTTCTGGATTTTTAAAATTGTACACCCACATTTAATTATACACCCATGAGCTAGAGTATGACCTAATCCTAAAAAATAAATTCAAAATGATGAAAATTGAGTGAATTCAAATCAGTTAATTAATAGTATCATTTGACTATAATTGTTTTGCAAGCTTAGCTACTATTTAGAAACTCAAGCGAGATGGAAACAAGTTGACTCAGGACTTACCTTAAAAAAATGATCATGGTTGTCAGTACACTTTCAGCAAAAAGTCCTCTGCCATTTAACTATATCTTATTGTACAATCTTTGTACAATAGGAATTATTGATTATTATACTGTGCCTCTGTTCTAAGGTAATCTACCGAGTCATTAAAGAAAACGTGACATTGTTTCTAGTTTGCTCTTTTACTGAGGCAGGGAAACCTTTAAACAAGATGTGTTAGAAATCCAGACTTTTTCAGATTTTTGAAAGGTAACATAATGCATGAATAGTATATTACATAACCCCCCAAGCAGGATCTGGGACAGATCCCATAATCAAACTCATTAATATCTCTAAATGAATATTTGAATATAAATAGTATGCATAAGGGCTATACATAATCTCCTGTCAAACCAGTTAGGTTTTGCCACCAAATGACGATGGCACAAAATACATTTTTTAAAAGAGAAAAGTTTTATTTCTAGAGATTTGGGGATTTTGAAAATTCAGGTAAGAAGTTGTCAAACTGAGTTATGTTTGAAAAAAATTTCAACAAAAGAATTAAACCTAAAAGGAGTTTTGGGTCTTGTGTCAATTAATAAAAATTGTGCATCAGTCAAAACATCTTCATTTCTATGAAAGATAGTCATTTGAGATAGGCTCTTCACTAATATTTGTGGGGGCTGGAGCAAGAACGTAATGTGTTGTAGAAAAAAAATGGTTTCTTGTCACATGACCAGGAAAGATTAGGCTCATGGACACATAGAAGGGTTAGGAGTGAAATTTTTTGGGTGGAAAGGAAAAAGGAGAAACAACTCAGCAAAATAAGATACAGTCCCAGTAACAGTCTCTCCACCTCAACGATATAATCCCAGGTCCCCACCCAGGAACAGGAGAGGCCAGGCACCTCCCCTCTACAAATGGTGAGAACTTCTCAAGGTTCCACCCCGTCCTCCCAGAGCACAGGCCAATAGGAGATTCTCCGGTGAGCCCTTTTTACTTGGCTGTCTCAAATGGGGACCCTCATACCATATGCTAACAAATTGTTTAATAAATATGTCCTGTCTGTCTACCTTTTTAAGGATACCTTCATAATGAGAAATTTTAAAAAGATGACTGCATTTTATTTTTTTTATATGACTGGGTATCCTGAAAGGGTGAGTAATAAAATAAAGACATATATAATTTATGAATTATTATTTGCTTGCTCCATAAAATTGAATATTTCTCTTCTCAATATAAAAATACAAATTATGTTGTTATAATCAAATTTATACGATTGACAGTAATGAACTAATTGATTAAAATCTTCAATATAGATTAATAAAAATGTAAAAAGTTAATGTAAAACTTTATATTGGCAAATAAAAAAATTTTACGTTTCCCAAAAAATATATTTTTATCTATTAAAATTAAAAGGCAGAATATGAATTATATGACAATACATTTTAAATTTAAAAAGTATATGAAACTAAAATTTATTACTTTATTTTTAAAATGTAATTACCTTTTAAAAATGCATGTATAATAAAATATTCATAATTCTAACATTTGATGTTTATCTAGTTGCCAATGTTAAGAATCAGTATCTTGATTCTTGCATGTTATGTCTAGACCTACATATATACATTTATGCATATATACACATTTAAGAGTAATTCAAACTTTTTAGCATTGCAAAGTGTTTCTCAGCTACCATGTGGAAATGCTGTGAACATCACATTAATGCATGAGCCCTTCTGGATCATGAATCAGATAGAACACAGAAGGAAACAGGAAGGTGGACTTTTAGCCTACTGGCAGAGGATTCTTCATTGTGCAAGAATCTACTGCATTTTTGCTATTTGAGAGAAAAGATTTGATGAGTTAATTTCCTTTTTTCCTACCCAAGTGCTTGAAGGGCTCAAATCCTCCCACTCTCTGTGGCCATGACCCTCTTAGCATTCAGACACAATCTTTTGTTTAGAAGACATTGGGCAAGACCTGTAGAGAAAAATTTCCCTGTAACTTAAGTGAAGTTCATAGAAAAAGAGGATTAGGTGACTGGTAGTCCTGTGACAATATTGAGTAGAAGATTCTGCATGTCAGAAGCACCAATGTGTTAAAGGAGGAATTAGCATATGAAAGCCAACCCAAACAAGTAACTGCCCAATCTGTTTTTAAAATCATCCAACAGGCGGGGCGCGGTGGCTCACGCCTGTAATCCCAGCACTTTGGGAGGCCGAGGCGGGCGGATCACGAGGTCAGGAGATGGAGACCATCCTGACTAACACGGTGAAACTCCGTCTCTACTAAAAATACAAAAAAATTAACCGGGCATGGTGGCGGGCGCCTGTAGTCCCAGCTACTCGGGAGGCTGAGGCAGGAGAATGGCGTGAACCCGGGAGGCGGAGGTTGCAGTGAGTCGAGATAGCGCCACTGCACTCCAGCCTGGGGGACAGAGCAAGACTCCGTCTCAAACAAAAACAAAAACAAAAAAACCTCCAACAGCAGAGCATTTCAGCCAACGGTTCCAATGTTTAAATAACGTTTTCCTATGGATGCTCTATATCTGTGGTCAGCAAACCCTAGCCGGCAGGCTGAAACCAGACCACGGACTGTTTTTGCAAATAAAGTTTTACTGGAACACAGCCATGCATTGATTTGTGTTTATGCCTGCTTTCAGGCTAAGATGACAGAGCTGAGGAGTTAAAAAGGCTGAAATATTTACTCTCTGGCCCTTTACAGAAAAAGGTTGCTGACCACTGCTCTATTTCTTTTTTTTGTTTTTATTCATTTATTTTATTTTATTTTATTTTTGAGACGGAGTCTCGCTCTGTCGCCCAGGCTGGAGTGCAGTGGCGCGATCTCGGCTCACTGCAAGCTCCGCCTCCCGGGTTCACGCCATTCACCTGCCTCAGCCTCCGAGTAGCTGGGACTACAGGCGCCCGCCACTACGCCCGGCTAATTTTTTGTATTTTTTAGTAGAGACGGGGTTTCACCGTGTTAGCCAGGATGGTCTCGATCTCCTGACCTCGTGATCCGCCCGCCTCAGCCTCCCAAAATGCTGGGATTACAGGCGTGAGCCACCGCGCCCGGCAGACCACTGCTCTATTTCATGACTAGCTGAAATCTTGCACAACAAAGTGGGGTCATTCTCTTCAGTTAGAGCCTCACTGAAAAATAGAGAACCACCCACAATGCCATCTCTACAAATAACCTTCGTATGAGAAGTCTTAAATACCCACTCTTAAAATGAGGTAACCTTGTTTATCTAATCCCCTTGATTTAACCTTCTCTCTTTTACCTGCAACCAAAATTTACAGTTCCCACATGTGCTTAATTGTTAAACAGGTTCACAGGTTAAAAGTATGTATGAAGAAGGCTAAAACGTTAATCACATATTATTCAAAAACTTAGGAGTAAAATTAATTTTCTCCTTAACCAGAGGCCCTTGAACATTTAAAGAAGTGAGCCATACCTAGATACGTCATGGGGTTCAGATCATTCCCATTTTTCTGCTCCCCTAAATTCTGAACACTGTGTCAATTTTCAGAAATGCTTTGGGCAGTCTGTGTGGCAGGGATACCACAGGTATAGCAAGGTCTTCCACACTAAAATGCAAACTGGGTTTTGATGAATGCAACTATTGCAAAACTATGAAGTGATTAGAAAACTTTTTGTTCTTTCTGCTTAATGTGGGTAAGCACTAATTTACTTTCTTTTCTTCTCTGTACATATTTCTCCACAAAAATGTACAGACTACTGAGAATGATTATGAGAGCAATAAAGAAAGGGCTAAGCCTCCAGATAGCTATCCTAACACAAGGATGATGTGACTAAGAATTCTGTTGCCCGAGGCTAGCAGAAGGTGTGCTTGTCTTTGTGGACAAGTGGTGCAGCCTAGTGGAAAGATGGTCGTGCCTGGCCTTGATTGCTAGCTCAGCCACCCACAGTTCTGTGAACTTGAACAAATTCTGTACTCTGTCTGAGCCTAACCTGTAAAATGGAGGTTTCCTGTGTCTTGCAGAGTTACAATGAGGATATGAAATAATAGCCATCCAGCATATGGCATTTGATAAATGACAGTTTTCATGACTGTTATTCTTATTGCCAGGACACTACACAGCTACCTACTCCAAGAGTAAGAGTGTCAGAGGGTGAGGTGAGAGGAGACAGACCACAGGCATTCTGGAATAACCACTATGGTCACCACCTCACCTCCCTTAATGTTGACAGTTTGCATGGCCCTGGAGATGTTTAGAGAGCACTTCCACAGTCACCACCCCACTCGCTTTCCTTTTCTCCCTCTGCCTAGAAAGTCAGGGACCTCTGTGACAAATTGCAGACACCCCTGGAACAAATGCAATGAAAGCTCAGAACCACAGGGAATTCCTAGACATGCAACAGCATGGCTGGGTCCTGCTTTTACTCAAAAAGTTCATTTTCTCTAGCTCCAGAGAAACAGACAATTTAGGATTGAAGTGGGAGCTTCACTTGGTTTCTCTTCCAGTTCCCCTCACAGCCAGTGGGCCTTTGGTTTCATCCTGAAAGTGCCCTAATAAGTCCACATCCTGTTCATCTTTCTCTGAAAGATCAAGAAGGAACAGAAGCCCGTGGACTCCATGACCCTCAGGAGGCCAGACCGGGGACTGAGGCATGAGGAAGCCAAGAAGACAATCTGTAGTGCTCACCCCAACAAGGCTGGCATTAGTAGGTGTGGGAGAGGCAGCTGCCTGCATCCTACAACCTGGGAGGAAGGGGGCGGGGGTGGGACTTAGAGAGAGTATATTATTTTGCTAGGGCCACCACAACAAAGTACCACAACCTAGATGGCTTAAAACAGCAGAAATGTATTGCCTCACAGCTCTGGAGGCTGAAAGACTGAAATCCAGGTGTTGGCAGGGCCGTGCTCATCTGAAACCTGTAGGGGAAAACCCTTCCTTCTGTCATTTGTGTGCAGCACTCCATGCTGCCTGTGACATCACATGGCACTCTCCCTGTGTGTCTTCACATTGCCTTCCCTCTACTTGCCTCTTCTCTTCTTATAAGAACACCAGTCATACTGGATCAGGGCTCACTCTACTCCTGTGTGACCTCATCTAGACTTGATTATGTCTGCAAAGACCCTGTTTCCAAATAAGGTCATATTGAGAAGTTCTAGAAGTTAAGAGTTCAGCCTATCTTCTGGGGGAGGACACAATTTAAACCCATAACAGGTAGTGAAAGGGGGGCGGTGGACTCCGGAGGTCTAACTTCCTCAGGTCTCCCCGCAAGCCCGGCACGACCACTCTTTTTTGCAGTAATATCCTTAGGGTTTTTTACCTTTAACCTTCAGTCAGTTTTTCCCCTGCAACACCCAACATTACAATCCTCTGTGGGATCTTCTTCACAGCTAGATTCCTGGGGAGTGGGATAGGCAGAAGAGCTGCAACCTCAGAATCTGCATTTTCTAGCCAGCCTGAGAATCACAGCCTTCAGGAAGAAAATAGGAGATTTGCTCTATTGCTGAGTTGGAGCAGGGACCCCTCTCTAAGAGGCTTGTGGTCTCCCTAAGCAGAAAAATAGAGGAAAATCTTGAGCTTCTCCAAGGGAAATTCCAGGCACCTAGCTAGCCCTGAGAAGTAAATAAGCAACTTGTTAAGCTAGAAGGTAATAGTAGCCTACAAACAGTAGCCAAGGAAGCTAGATTCACAGGATGTTTGGTTCCCCTATAGAAACTAAAGACAACATCTTAACATATATCTCTGAGTTGTTTTTTTAGAAACCTGGACCTGCACCAAATGGATCCTCCAGCACATAGACCTCAGATAAGGGGGAACTGAATACCGAACTCTACCTATCATTCTTCGTCCTAAATTTCTTCCTGAGGGGCCTGGAGAAAAGTCACACTCAGGGAGCTAACATTTGTTCTGCCAATCCTAAATTTTTGTTATTTATTTATTTATTTATTTATTTATTTATTTATTTAGACAGAGTCTTGCTCTGTGGCCCAGGCTGGAGTGCAATGGCAGTATCTTGGCTCACTGCAACCTCTGCCTCCCTGGTTCAAGTGATTCTCCTGCCTCAGCCTCCCGAGTAGCTGGAATTAAGGACATCTGCCACCATGCCTAACTAATTTTTATATTTTTAGTAGAGACAGGGTTTCACCATGTTGGCCAGGCTGGTCTCGAACTCCTGATCTCAAGTGATCCACCCGCCTCGGCCTCCCAAAGTGCTGGGATTACGGACGTGAGCCACCGCGCCCAGCCAACCCTAAATTTTTAAACAAAGCTCCTCCTTAACCAATTGCAAATCAGAAAATCTTTGAATCTACCCATGACTCACAAGGCCCCACTTCAAGATAATCTCTCCCTTTTAGGCCAAAACCAGTGTGTAACCTCCATGTATTGATTTATGATTTTACCTATAACATCCGCTGTCCTGAAATTTTCCCCTGCCTTGAAAAACACTTGCCTGCAAGCCACTGGGGAGGTCAGGATTTTAGTGTTAGCTGCCTGGTCCTCATTGCTTGGTGCCCTGCAAATAAATGCCTGGCTTTCTTTTGCTGCTATCCTGATGTCAGTGTTTGTCTTTGCTGTGCCGGGCAAGCGGATCCCAGTTTGTTTTTATAACATTGCCAGCCACATCTGCTATATGGTGAATGATCGCAGATCCTTTTGGAGTTCAGATATGGATAAAGTAAAGGAAAAAGAGAAGGCTTGGGGAACTTGGTGTGGGATAAAGAGGACAAGGGATTAGAATAAGGGTGCTGAGAATCTTAGATGGGGGAAACATCTTCCCACTACTCTCTTTTGCCAACAATTGGCCCTGGACACCAGCCTTTATATGTGGAAGCCAGGATAAATATTCTGCTATGTTGCTCCCATTCCCTTGTCAGTTAGCAAGTAAGGGCAGTCAGCCCAACAGGCTAGGCCAAGTTCTCCATTCCTCTTGGATTCTCAGGGCACAAACTGAGGCCCCCTCAGTCAAAACACCATTACCTGAGTAGACTCGGACACCTTGCTGATGTGGAGATGTGAGAGTGGTTTAAGAAACAGTAACAGGGTTTGTCCTGCCCTACTTCGTCATATGCTCCATAAGTGATAGATGCATAGGGCATCTGACTAGGAATAAGCCTGTTATTCCACTCCAGGGTAGGGATGTTCCACTCCAGGGGAGGGATGCTGGTGTATATCTTCTCTGCACACTCTGGGCCCCAGAATTTTTATTGCAAAAAAGAGTTGAGGGGGGACCTCCTTTGTAGTAGCTATCTATTACCTTTGTTGTAGCTGAAGACGTTCTTCCATGGAACTCAGTGAAAATAACAAAAAGGAAAACTGAGAGTGGTTGAGCCAATACAGTGAAATGAATTATCCACAATTTACTAAGTACACAACAAGCTCTAAATAATAGAGTTATAGCCTGGTGTACTTCCCATGCATCCTGTTAGAAAGATCCTGACCTTCCAGATATTGGAAGGAGACTCTGGGTTCCTCTTCTTCAACTTCCTTTCAATACTGCTTAGCTTCCTGGAAGGCTGGTGGCTGCCTGGTAGAGGAGAAACATATAGGAAAGCATTCAAGAAATGAGTCATTGATCTTGAGCAAAGTAAAGAAGAGAGGCTGTCCCAGAAGTGAAAGGACAGAATAGACTCTGCATTTCCAGAAGGAAGAGTAATATTAAATGTCCAAGTACATGGACAAAGATGCCCCACTGAGGAAGTAGGGCAAGGAAAGGAATACTGTGGCCATTCACAAGAAGGGCTGGGCTAAGGGTAAAGATGTCAGTGTCCATCAACGAAAGAGACTTCTGGGGAAGGGTGTGGGAGGAATATATAATCAGTTTCATGCTTCTGTGTTTGGGGCCTAGAACACTAGGATGTAGTCCTGTTTTCCACAGTCGATTAATTGATATAGAATAAACTGTTGTCACTAGTAGCTGTCAGTGGAGCACTGACTCTGGAGCTAAGACTCTCTGGGTTTGAATCCTAGCTCTGCCATCCTAGTCGCATGACTTTGATCCAATTTAATTATCTTATCTGTTTCTTAGTCACAAAGGACTTATCTATAAAATGGAGATAAAAATAGTACCTACTTTGAAGTGTTTTGTAAAATTGAATTCATCTGAATAAAACAGAGCGTCTGGAACATAGTAAAGACTCTTAAACATTCTTTGTAAGAAAACTAATTAGCCAAAATTGCCTTGAGGGTCTGGTTTGATTCTGGTTTTGGCTGGGGATCTGAGTCTGCATTGTCTTCTGACCCCTTTCTAATTTGTACTTGACCATATTTTCCGATGTCCCACCATAATTCATGCTGAATAAGTCAGAACCTTATGAGGGGGGAAGATAAAATTTCAGAGAATGTGTGTGCGTTTGTTTACAGTTGAAGGTTTTTCAAATCTCTCTCTCTCTTTTTTTTTTAGTATTTTTAAATATGTTCCCCTATATCTAGCTATTTCTGTTTGTGCTACTGCATAGATTCGGGCACACTTCTCATCTTCAAGAGGGATAGCTCTTCTGTAGTTCTTAAAAATGTCTGTTGTAGCTTCCTGAGAATGCCTCTTCCACTTGCCCTGCTATGATGGGATGGGTTTGTGGACTCTCCTGGCTTTCCGTGGGAAGAGAAAAACTTCCAGATGAATTTAACCCAGTAGTTCCCCCACTACTTAGAAGTCATTTACTAGGTGCATATTTCCTATATTGTACTGTTTATTATCAGTATCCTCTTCCTCTCTCTCCTTTCCTACTTTACCCCTACTGCCCTATCTCTCTCTTTCAATATAATAAAAATGTCCACAGACATCTGTGCCCTGAACAGTTTTCTGTTTAGAGTTCATGTCCACTTGTCTTGCTTCATATACAGTGTGATTTGATGGGTGCATATGGCTATATCTGCCCCTAAACATCATCTATTTTAGCTTCTCCCAAAGTCTGAAATTTCCATGATTAAACAGTCTCCTCTGGCTCAAGGCATCTTCTCCTAAAGACTCCTGTACAAATACAGGTGATCTCCCCTAGGAAAGTTGACTCATGGGTAACATCTCCATGGTTTGTTAGATTCCTCCTTGACACAGTGTGGCAGCAGGCTCTCAAGGGCACCAAATTAGTCTGTGAAGGAAGAAGAAGTGTGGTTCGATAAGAAGAAAAATCCTTCTGCCCAGCAGGCCCTAACAGCCCAAGGAAGGGGGCTGTCCATGCATGATACTCTATGCTGGGATCATGGCAGTACTGGGCCATCAGACAAGGAAGAGTGGGGACAGACTGTTCCAAAGGGTGAAGAGAGAAACACCAAAGATGAACTCAACTTGTTAGCAAAGGGCCTTCAATGAGATCTACTGTTTAGTTTTGGAATTCATTTCTAAAAGGCATGCTTTATGTTTTAGGGACTTTCTATTTTTTGCAGCTTAGAAGAACATGTTTTCATTAAGGAGAACTGTGCCCAAGATAATGTTACTCAGAATGTTAAAGTTGACGTGCAGACATTGCCTTGAAAAGGATGTGTTTTCATTCCTTTGCTTGCTTTTAGAATCCCCGAGACAGGCACAGCCCTAGGACTCAAGGGTTTCCTTTCGTACTGGGGTTGAATTCCTTTCCCCTTCTCATTCCAGCCTCCCTGGGAGTGCTCTCCTTGGCCTTGGGGCTCTTCTCCCTTCTGCACAGAGCACCCCTAGATTGCTGGCTCCCTGTATCCTTCCTAATAAGACTCTGTTTAACCCGAAAATTTATTATTGTGCATTTTGAATTCTACTTTTATGAGAATGAAACAGCTATGTGAAATACACATAGGACACATAACAATTAAACAAATATAATCCCTTTTAAAATTTTTTATAAGATTACCCTATCTGTTTAAAGCAGATCTCTGCTTTAGAATAATTTGATATTTTTTTCCCTTCTTTTCTTTTTAAAAGAAGGCAGCAAGTCACAATGAAAAAAACTATGAGCTATGGACCTGGACACACATGAATTCGAACCAATTCTGTCTCACTCCTGAAATGTGGCTGGAGAAGTTGCCTAAGGTCTCTGTGAGCTGCACCCATTCAGCTTGACTAGAAATCGTTATGTCTTAGAGTTGTTGTGAGGATTAGGAGTAATTCTTCCATCCTAAGACTGCTTTGAGGACTTAAAAAGTTCATATATGTCAACTAATTAGCAAACTGTCTAGTACTTAGCAAAAGCTATAAATACCATGTACTCTTATTCATATTACTGATAAAAATCATAAGCTATAAGGAAGAAAAACTAGAGACAGAAAAATAAAATTAAGCCAGAGAACAGAGAAGAAACACTGAGCAGAGAGGAGTAAAGTTAGATTCTTTTTCACTTTGAGTTAAGGTCCCGACTTTCTGACTCTGGGCACTCAACAGCGGAAGAAAGATGAGAACCTCCTATGGCAGGGAAGATGGAGCGAGGAGGAAAATGACAGAGGAGAAGGGGGCATACAGGCTTTCAAGCAGCTACAGTGTGGAAGCATTTGGTAATAGCTTGAAAATGGAAAATGCCATTATCATAAAAGCATACAAACAAGGAAATAGAGTACTGTTCATTGTTTTAAAGTCACTTAGTCAATAACATTTATATTTTTGTCTGATTATGAAAGTAGTACATTTTCATATTGAAAAATTGGAATATGCAGAAAGACACAAAGACTAAAATGAAAATAATCTGTAACACATAGAGGAACATTCATCATTTAGGGTAAGTCCTTTTAGCCTCATCTATATCTATTTACATTTCTTCTAGAAATTTGAGCTTATTTTATGAAAGTAGTACAGCTAATGAGACAGCCAAGTAAAACGGGGTCACCGGAGGATCTCCTACTGGCCTGCACACTGGGAGGATGGGGTGGAGCCTGGGGAAGTTCATGCCATTTGCAGCAGGGAGGAGTCTGGATCGTCTTGTTCCTGTGTGGTAACCTGGGATTCAGTCAGTGAGGTGGACAGCCTGTTAGCAGGACTCCATCGCACTTTGCTGAGCTGTTTTTCCTTTTATCCTTTTCGCCCAATACATTCCATTCCCCCTCACCCTTCAAAGTGGCTGTGAGCCAAATCTTTCCTGGTCGTGTGACAAGAATCCAGTTTTGTCCTACAACACTAGGTTTTTACTTAATTATATATGAACATTATCTATGTCATGAAATATTCTAGCATATCTTTCTTTAAAATGTCCAATTAAAAATTCAAACATATGAAAATAGAGAGACACCAAAATAATAACCCTCGTGTTCCTATCACTCAAATTCAACAATTATCAACTCATGGCCAATTTTCTTTCATCCATACACTTATCTACTTTCTCCTACTCAACTCCTTAGATTATCTTGAAGCAAATCTCAGACATGAGGGAATTTTATCTACAAATATTTCAATATGTATGTATCTCTGTAAGACACGGGATTCTTCTAAGGAATAGAATTAAAATGGTCACACTTAAAAATTAAAATTAATTTCTTAGTATCATGAAATATAAATATGCTGCTTACTTTTTCCCGATTGTCATATCATTTTTTAACTGTTTGAACCAGGATCAGATTTTTGATGTTTAGAGATTAGGCCAAAACTCTGAGTTTAAATTGAAAGTATTAATATGAACTCACAATACATTTTATCTGAAACAAAAACTGTAGTTTTTTAAGCTCTGCATATTGAAAAAGCCTAGAGACAATGACTAACCCAGGAGCAAAGAACACCTCTAATGCCAACATTATAGACTCCAAATACCATTTTTCACTAAAAGAAAATAGGATTAATTGAAGAAATGTTGGATTCCAGGTCTGGGGCAAGAAAAGAACAAGATAAGCCTGAAACATCATATATCAGAAAGCAAAGAACGTGTGCAGGAATATTAGGGTGAAGTCCAAATGATTCAGGTTTTTGGTTTTAATTCTGTATATGTGATGAATCACATTTATTGATTTGCATCCCAGAATAAGCCCGCTTGATCACAGAGAATTAACTATTCGATGTGCTGCTGGATTCAGTTTGCTAGTATTTTGTTGAGGATTTTTGTATCTATGTTCATCAGGGATATTGACCCATAGTTTTCTTTTCTTGTCATGTCTTTGCCAGATTTTGGCTTCATAGACTAAATTAGGGAGGAATCCATTCTCCTCAATTTTTTGGAATAGTTTCAGCAGAATTTGTACCAGCTCTTCTTTGTACGTTTTGTAGAATTCAGCTGTGAATCCATCTGGTTCACAGGTTGGTTGGTAGGTTTTTTATTACTAATTCAATTTTGGAGCTCAATATTGGTTTTTTAACCAATTGTTCAGGGTTTCAATTTCTTCCTGATTCAATCTTGGAAGGTTGTCTGTTCCCAGGAATTTAATTTCCTCGATATTTTCTAGTTTGTATGCATAGAGGTGATCACAATGGTCTCTGAGGATCGTTCGTATTTCTGTGGGATTGGTTATGATGTCACCCTTGTTGTTTCTGATTGTGTTTATTTGGATCTTCTCTCTTTTTTTTCTTTGTTAATGTAGCTAGCCATCTATCAATCTTGTTTATCCTTTCAAAGAACCACACGATCGTCTCAATAGATGCAGAAAAACCTTTTACTAAATTCCAACATCCTTTCATGAGAGAAATGCTCAATAAACTAGGCATCAAAGGAACATACCTCAAAATAATAAGAGCTGTCTATGACAAATCCACAGCAAGCATCATACTGAACAGGCAAAAGCTGGAAGCATTCTCCTTAAGAACTGAAGTAAGACCAAGGATTCCCACTCTCACCACTTCTATTCAACATAGTACTGGAAGTCCTAGCCAGAGCAATCAAGCAAGAGAAAGAAAGAAAGGCATCCAAATAGGAAAAAGAATAAGTCAAATGATCTCTTTTCACAGATGATATGAGTATAAACATAGGAAACCCTAAAGAGCCCACCAAAAGGCTCCTAGAACTGATGAATGACTTTAGTAAAGTTTCAGGATACAAAATCAATGTAGAAAATTTACTAGCATTTATATACACCAATAACATTTGAGCTGAGAGCCAAATCAAGAACACAATCCCATTTACAATAGCCACAAAATAATGAAATACCTAGGAATTCATGTAACCGATGAGGTGAAAGATCGCTACAAGGAGAACTACAAAACACTGCTGAAAGAAATCATAGATGATACAAACAGATGGGAAAACATTCTATGCTCATGGATTGGAAAACTCAATGTCGTTAAAATGGCCATCCTGCCCAAAGCAAGATGAAGATTCAATGCTATTCCATCAAACTGCCAACATCATTTTCACAGAATTAGAAAAAAAATCTAAAATTCATATGGAACCAAAAAAGAGCCTGAATCACCAAAGCAATCCTAAGCAAAAAGAACAAAGCTGGTGAAATCGCATTACCTGACTATAAACCTTACTATAAGGCTACAGTAATCAAAACAGCATGATACTGGTACAAAAATAGACCCATAGACCAATGGAACATAATAGAGAACCCAGAAATAAGGCCACACACCTACAACAATCTGCTCTTCAACAAAACTGACAAAAATAGGCAATGAGCAAAGGACTCCCTATTTAATAAATGATGCTGGGATAACTGGCTAACCATATGTAGAAGAAATTGGACCCCTTCCTTATACCATATACAAAAAGCAACTCAAGATGGATTAAAGTTTTAAATGTAAAGCCTCGAACTAAGAAAATCCTAGAAGAAAAGCTAGGGACTACTATTGTAGATATTGGCCCTGATAAAGAATTTATGGCTATGTCCTCTAAAGTAATTGTGACAAAAAAAATTGATGAGTGAAACCTAACTGAACTAGAGCTTCTTCACAGCAAAAAAACAAGCAAACAAAAAAACTATCAAGTAAACACACACTACAGAAATGGAGGAGAAAATTATAGATGAAAAGGAGACTTAAGAGACATTCAAGCAATTACACTGTATACTACAATTTTAATTTATTCAAGCTGTTTTGCTGAATACCTAGTTGGTCCAAATTTTTGTTTTAATAACTAAGACTATGACAAATATCCTGTTACATGCATACATCTTTGCACAAATTTATGTTTTTTCCCTAACTGAAATTCTCAGAAGCTAAATTCCTTGGTCTAAAGTATATACTCTTTAAAGCATGGTACAATTTTGTTTTTATTCATTGGTGATTTAACAAATACCATGAGACTGGAACTCTTAGACCCTATGAGATAAACAAAAAAAAAAGGCATGACTGTTACTCTCTAATCTCAATTCAATTCGAGATATAAAAAGAGGATTTCAAATGGTGTCAAATTAGTGGGCTGGATTATAAGTACTAGAACAGTTAAGAGAAAAAAGAAAGTTCTATGGGTTGGAGTGATCCAGGAAAGCTTCAAGGAGGAGGTAGAATTTGAGTCCATGATTGAAGAAAGGAAAGATTCACAGAGTTGGAGGGAAGCATACAGACAATATCAGGTTACAGAACATACACAGGCCAAATTGGAGCCACAGTGGAGCTTGATTTGGACAGCAGAGTGTTTTTCTTGTTTAATTTTAATTAGTTGTCAATATTTCAAAATCAAGAGATTTCTTATGAAAAATCTGTATTTCTGACCTAATAGAAGACTGACCTGACAATACTGGGTGCACAGTCTTTCATGCTACCAGTTGACTGGAGTTGAAAATTGGCACCGCCATTTAGATGAGGCTTGCTCTCTCTAGCATTCTGTGGGCCCCACTTGGCCTATGGCACTCATTTATTTAACCTGTCCCTGTGAACTTGGGATCTGGTATATAGCATGAGGAAAGTCACATGGGTGGATGAGGAAGATCATGCCCCAAAGACATGTAAGTGGACTAAACTGGTCACTGTGGATGGGTCACACCTGGGAGTAGTATGAAATGATGTTGAAAAAGTAAGTTGGGATCAGATCATGAAAAGTCTTCCATGCCAGACTCGGAATTGCCCTTAAATCTTGCAAGAGAGTCTTTCCCTTAGCCTCGTGTTTGAGAAGGCCCTGCTCTGACCCTCCTCCAGCCATACCCCTCTACACAGGATTAGTAATCCACAGGGATAAGGGACCATGTCCACCTTCTCCCAGCACTGTCCTCCCCCTCTAGACCATGCTCATTCTCATGTTCAGGACCCTGGAATTTGCTGCCTCCATGGCCTTACCCCACTTCCAGGTCCTGAACAAGCCTCTTCTTCTAGTCCATCCTCTTAAGGATAGACCACACCACCAGCATACATCCCTAAATCCAAGAATGGCCAAGAGGTGACTGTTTGCAGGTGGAGGCTGGAGGGTTATGGACAGCATTTGACTGTAGGGTGGCTATTCACACACATGCCTATTTGGCCCCTTGTGGAATTGAGAGAGAAGAGGGGTGAGTCAGAGACCTTATTTGTATTTTTATTGCAGTCCTACAAATGTTATACCAATGTCTGATGGCCTAAAACGTTTTTAATACAGCATTCCCTAGGCAATGGGGAGCCAGGGATGGGTTTTTGAACACGGAAGTACCATGGTGAGAAAAAGAGTTAGGAAGGTTTCTTTTGTAGCTCTATAGAGGATGGATTGATTGGATTGGGAAGGGAGACAGGAAGCTCAGCTCAGAGGCTCTTGCAATAATGTAAATAAATAAATTATGAGTCAGCTGGGATGGGGATAGAAACAGAAATTCAGGAAAATTCAAACACCACTAAATTGCATGGCAGTATAATCTCCACTTCTGAAAAATTACAGTATTGCCCAAATATTCCAGATCTGCTTCTACGTGATAGTTCTATTGGCAAACCTCAGAAAGTCGGGTTTATAAAACCATGATGGTAACTAGATTAAAGAATCAATTAAAAATTTGTGGACTTTGTGCCTAGATATGATTTCAAAAGGACAGTTAAGGCAGAAGTGAAGTGTTCATTTAGAAGAGGGCACACAGGATGGCTATAACAGAGAAAACTTTAATAGTGAGATGTACCAGAAGTTGGTAGGAGAAAGCTAACAGTGAAATTGTGGTGATGGAGCAGAGAAAATTTTCAGCAAGGGAGATGGAAGGCAGATGGGAGTACTGTGAAATTAAAGAAGGAGGCAGGGTAGTTATTCATAGCTATTCTTCTGTTATAACTCTGAAATATGTGTGCTTAAAGAATAAATAGAAAGTAATTGATTTGAAATAGAAAAGCATTAAAGCTTAGAAATATGGAAACATGAGAAATGACCCTGAATTAAACGTGTTTGAAATGGTTTTTAGGGCTTTCTTTGGTCCATGTAAGTCACCTTAACAAAATATTTAAATAAATCATTTTGAAAAAATAGTCACTGGACTTTTTGAAAGAAAAAAGCCCTACTGACTCAAGGCAAACTGTATGGCTAAAAATTATGAAAACTGTTGTAGGACTCCAAAAGGCAGCCCTTGCCTCAAGGTGGGTGCTGGTTTTTGTTCCCCAGAGGGGGGTCATGTTATCAAACACCACTTGTCCCAAGTCCGGTTTTCTAGACGAGACCCTGCAAGGGGTGAAGTGACCAAAGGCGATTCTCTATAGAGGAGGACAGCTAGGCATGGTTACTAGCCAGCATTGCAGCCGCTGGGAGACAGGTGCACCAGCTGGTAAGGCAGAGCTGGCAGGGCACTGAGAGCCCCCACTACATCACCTAATCATCTTCAACCTGGTGATGCATCCCACCACGATGAAATTGTGTGCTTTCATCACAGTCAAAATTAAAAGACCATGAGGCAGCTTAGTGCAGAGAAAAGAATCCCTTTGATGGAGGTAGCTGACCTGGGAAAAGGTTTCTCTTCCACCACAACTATGAGATTTGGGGCAAGTCACTCGGCCCCTCTAAGCTTGTTTCCTCATTCATAAGGTCAGAAAAATTAAAAAGACTATTTTGAGAGTCAGACTAGGAAATTAATATAACATACATAGACAATATATTGATGCATGATATGCAAGTGTACCATATATTTACTTGTTTATATTAATAAGAAAAGATCTGGAAAACTATATGCTAAGCTTAACTGTAAGTTATCCCTGAGGGAGGGGCACTGTGGATGGTCGTAGAGAGAAGTACAACAGTGTGGTGAGCAGCGCTGACTTTGGAGCCAGGCTGTTTTTTGGACTCTGGGCAAGTTGTTTAACCTCTCTGTGCCTCAGTTTCCTTTTCTGTAAAATAGGGATAGGTAAAAACCTACCTCATAAGGTTGCTTTGACAATTAAATGAGCTTATATGTAAAAATCATTTACAATTTTGCCAGGCATGCTGTAAGAGGAATATAATTGTTAGATATTCATGTTCTTTTATTTTGCTTATTCTTGCCCCTAATTGTCTATAGTGATTGTACATTGATTTTACAAGAAAAACGTATAAAACATAGAAAAAAGTTCTTTTTAACATGTGAACTATTAATAGCTGGTAGACATTTTAATTAACCTTTATTTTAAATGGGAATAAAATAATTAAAACTGTCCAAGCAATACATCAAATAGAGAATAATGGTCATAAGCTTTCTACTGCTCCACTCAGGAGCATTAAGTTTCTTAGCCTTGAGGTTGATGTGTTTGCATGAGTTTTTGCTGCTATTATTTTTATCTCTCCTTTTGCACAGCAGTGGGAATCCGAAGTCCTGCCTTGCATTCTGTTTTTTCACAGCCAACTCTGTGTAAATGCAACATCAGTATTTCAACTTTTAGCAGTGGGGGTCATCTTGTATAGTTGTCTAAACTGTGCAGCGTTTTTTTTTTTATTTTAAGAGTATAAAACAGTAACAGCTGCTGTCCCACTCATAATAGACAAATGAATACAAAATGGCTGAATCATCAGCAGCTCCTGGCAGACCCTAAGACCTGTGGACAATAAACCTCTCCTGAGACCAGACACTTCGGTTACAGCCTTGTGCTGTCATGGCCACATGTGAACTCAGCACGTTCTCCACATACCAGGTGTCTCTTGCCTAAGGTGTGGGTTCAGGACAGGCAACTGCTGTTTTATCAAGAATATTCAGCTGGCTGAGCAAGGCCAATATTGAAAAAATTTATTATTTGAATTGTTCAATTCCCTGGGAACTTTCCTTTTATTGCACAGGAGGAATGAGGAAGTGACAGCACCACACATACACACACACACACTCACACTCTCACACTCACAATGCTTTAGGTCAAATTATCATCAAGGAGCCAGTAGGATTTCTAAGAGAAAATGGGCTGCTGCAATCATGTTTTCAATCTAGCCACTACACTTGGCAGGTAATTGCAAGCCAGGGGCAAGCCACAAATACCATTAAATACAGACATTATCGTTCCTGACACCCACAAGCGCCATCATAATAATGAACTACCAGTATACTCAGATTTCCTGATCACATGGACTATACATTTCACAAGAACTTTTAAAAGTCCAGACGAATGGAGGAACTCTCCAGGCTGTAAGATTTCTTTGGAGACTAGATGAATTCAGCGGGATAAAGTTAATTGAGGTAAAACAAAAATGGTGATGGATTTATTCTAAATTTAGAGAGCAGAAAGGTTTTTCTTTTTCAGTTCAGCTCTTTCCTTCCAAGATTTCTTTCTGTTTTTTTTCCAGTGAGTCTATTAGGAAGGCTCTCTAGACCTAATTGGCAAACGGAAATAAATAAATCATGGGCACCCACCCAAGCATTTTGAGGGAATTTATAGCCAGAATTGTGTACATATTGATCAAAACAGGCATCCTGCCACAGTCGATGAGGTCCCCGGCAGACAGACCTCAGGAAAACTGAGCAAAATTATAATACCATAAACCATAGAATCACTAAACATTTCAGCATGTATCACAAATAAAGCATTACAATTTTTATAAGAGGAAATTATTCCTGATAGAGCCACCAGACTGCTTGGAGGTGGTAGGCGTGAAAATATGAGATTCCAGGAAACTCAATTTATTTCCATGTTTCAAAAACCTTAAACAAGGCTTTATTTCAAAAGTAATTTAAAACATTGTCAGCCTGAGTTGGGGTGGGGACTTATTGGGGGAAATGTTCATTAAGAGATTTTGAAACAAGTCAAAGTTTAATTTAAAACATTGTCAGCCTGAGTTGGGGTGGGGACTTATTGGGGGGAATGTTCATTAAGAGATTTTGAAACAAGTCAAAGTTTAGGGCCGAATAAGTGTTTTTCTGGAGAAAGAAGCATACAAAGTAGCATCTCTGGAAAAAAGTGCCACTTAATATATTTTATAAATGATCAGGAAGAGGGAATACAGAAGAAGGAATACCTTCAGGGTTGCAAAGACAGTAGATGTTTCTAGGTGGTTTAATGGTAACTGAAGGAATCAATTGAGTCTGTATGGAGTACAATATGACATGAGAGCTTCAAGATGGGTCACTCAGAGGAAAAATTGCTTCCAAAATTATAGTCTCTGACATAATTGGTTCAATTAACAAATATTCAGTGTCTTTTATGTGCAAGGTACATGTATGCAAATTCTGGAGCAGGGCAACATTGCTTTACAAAGTATCCTGAAGATGTGGGGCCAATGTGTTGCTAAAGCCAAAAGGGACACTAAGCTCTAGTTATCATTAGAGTGAGAACCAGAAACAAATTGGAAAATGTCTTTAACTTTTAGACAAAATCGTGGTGTGTGCATATCTGGAAAACTGGTTCAATTTTGGACATGAAATGTAGCGAAGCAACTGAATAGGGAAAATATCCTGGGAGGTCAGAGAGCCTGATTCACACATAAGGGGAGACACAGATCTTAACACTGGGCTAAGAAGAAATCAATATCTGTTCAATGACATTTCAAGGGCTTCTGAGAAGGTTCATATGACCTTAATCTCTATCCTTCCCTTCTTATGCAAACTTCTTAATAATGTATATCTTTTACATTTCCAATTTTGATTTTCTTCCCTCCATTTCAGTCTTTAATCATTTAATCAAGTATCTGCACTCATTGCTCCAATGAAGTAATTTTCTAAGGGAATTAACAATTTCCTAACTCCAAATCCCATAGAGAACTTTTCTTCTCATTGATTTGCTCTTTCTCCATTGGCCGTTCCCTTCTTAAAGTTCTCTTCTTCCATAGCTCCTGTGGTGCCACCCTCCCTCGTTTGCTTTCTGCCTTAGATTATTTCTTGTCCCACTAATGGCTCCTTACCATCTGCTTGCCCCCTCAGTTAGGTCATGCCTGCCTCTTCTCACTCTACATGCCCACCTATGATCCTAATCATGCTCATGACCTGAATTACCACCTGTTCTCTGATGAGTTTCACAATCCTGCTCTCTTCTCTGGACCCCAGCCCTCCTCTGAGCTCTAGATCCGTATTTTTGATTGTCAACTAGACATCCCAGCTGTAAGTCCTTAATAAGTACAGAGACAGCATGCCTAAAATCAAACCTGAGTCTCCCTACACCCTCAACCCACTCCTCCTCAATCTCTGTGCCACTGGATGGAACCACTACCAGAGACCTTATGGGCACACATTGGGTTTTGGATGAATTAACAAAAGACAGCACTTCTCTAGCCTGCTTCACCCCAGCACCAGAGAGGACAGTGGTGCTCGGAGAAGACTTTAGCTTTCCCACCCCCTCTGCTGGGTATCGTTGTGAAGGACACAGATGGAACAACTGTTGGTGGTAAGCAGTCCCGCCATCTCCTTATCACTCAAACAAAACTGAAAACACTGAGTCATCACTTCTATAACTACTCAGTCATCAAGTTCTGTCCATTTTATCTTAGAAGTGTCCGTACTATATTCCCCAACAGAAATATATGTTAGGGAAAATGCTTTTGCCTAATGTACCAACCTTCAGTTCATAAAGTACAGATTAGCAAAGCTTAATTTCTTTCTTATTTGTTGAAAAAAATAATTATCAATACAAGTTCTCATATTTTCTTTCTCAGCCTAGTAGATAACTCTGTGTAGACTGATTTATCTCACTTTGGAGACTACTGGTAATGAAGTCCAAACTCCATAGCGTAATGTACAAGACCTTTTATAAGTGGCAACAGAATGCCTTTCCAGCCCCTGTTTCATTACTCCATGCTTACTCCACCAAGGCCATGGCACGTGGTGTTTCTTCAATGGATCCACATAGCTTCATGACTCTGTACATTCGCACATGCCCTGGGTCTCTGGAATCTCCTGACTCCTCCTTTCCTTAGTGCCCTTTTTATCGTTCAAGGTTTAGCTCAGATTACTTCTTCTGTCAAGCTTCCTCCAATCCTTCTCTCACCTTCTACCTACCCAGCTGCCATCCAGGGAAGAGTTGCTCCCTACCTGTGCTGTGGCCCCTAGCTCCTTCCTCCTACCTGAAGTATGTACAACAACCCTCTCACACTAGTTGATTACTCTTTTTTTACATGCATTTCTCTCCTGTTAGATTTTTCTCTCTTCGAAATAGAAATCATGTCTTATCCATCTTTGTATACCAAAGACTTAGGATTGTTTGACACATTGTATGTGCTTTGTGACAGTTGAATGAATGAACAAATACATGAATGAAATACACCTAATTGAAGTTCTCTTCAAATATATTGGGCTGTCCCAGGAAGCTGGAAGTTCCTTTTCTCTGTGTCCAAGCAGAGGCTGATTGAAGGAATTCAAACATTAACTACATATGTGGAATAGAGATGCTTTGACATACATGAATAACATGTATGTGCCAACAAGACCCTCTGTAGCCCTCTGAGTTTGATGTAATGACAGACATACATGACTTCCTTCTGACCACACTCTCGTCTGGGAGAGACCTGGGCTGTGAAGTACAGAATTAGGAGAGTATTAATTATCCCCGCATAGTTAAGGTTTTTGAGTTGATCACTCACAGATGCCTAAATAATAAGCCTAACCTTTTATCTGGAGCATCAAGAGAAGCTCCTTTCATTTTCAGAGAACAAGGCATTTCCTCTCCACATAGCGCTCCAGACACACAAAGGAAAAGTAGAGATCACAGAGCATCAATATAGTCAAAAACCTAGAGGCTTATCCTGCTTTTCCCATACAGAAATTTTTAGACATTTTAACAGGAAATTTGTGGCACAGATGGAAAACAAATTTCATCTAAGTTAAGCAGAGTAGATGAGGAAAAAAAAAACCCTCAAAGATCAAAAAGCTGTGTAAGAGATACTCTAAGGACCCAGATTATATAAATGCCTGTAGGCTACGACTGTTTTCATACAGTGCTATTAAGGAACCTGCAATTAAGGTGTTGGAGGTTTTTCTTAAATACACACACACACATCCATACACTCACAGGGAAATCAATCTCCTCTCATAAAAGAACAGTGGTAGGTGTGTGGAGCCGTTTCTGTGCCCCAGGAAGACACAGCGCTTCTCCTGGAAATGCAGCCCCCCTCAGGTCAAGTCGATCTAACCTATGGAAAGATAAAATTTGCTGCACCACTGAGAGCTCGCAGACAGCAACACCTCCCTGGGAGCCTGCCACTTCTACAAACCCCAAACAAAGAGGTATGAAAAACCCTGCCACTGAGCAGGGGAAATGTGTTTTCCTATCTGGAGCCAAGGCGGGGATTTGTGTGACACTGCTGTCATTCCCTAACTGAATTACACACATGGGCTGCACACCTGCAGCCTCTCTAGCTTCAGGCCTCCATGCCTTGGCTTAGCCAGATTGCATTAAGGGCACAAACGGACTCCAATTTCAGCAAGACCAATGTCACTGCCAGTGCTCTCTTCCCAGTGCTGACTCACAATTAAAGTGTTTGAATAATTTAGACCCACTGTCGTCTAAAAAATCCAACTTACACTTGGATAAATGAGACTCACCCAAAAAAGCAGGATATGGGGAGAACCAGAATTCTAAATCATTTCCTTATGATAGTAGCTCTCAGAGTGTAGTCCCTGGACCAGCAGCATTGGCATTAACTGGGAACTTATAAGAAATACAAATTCTCCAGTGTACATACTCCAAAACATATAGTACATACCCAATACATATGATTTTTTATTTGTCAATTTAAAAAAATAGAAAAGAATAAAGGAATGAAAAAAACCCACTCTAGACCTCCTGAATCAGAAACTCTGGGGGACAACCCGGCAATCTGCATCTTAAGTCTTCCAGGTGATTCCCACTTAGCACCTGGTAAGTGAGATGCCGTAGAGATGAAAGTCATGTATGATCCCATTCTATGGCTATTTATAGAATAATATGAATGCTAGAGCAGAACCTGGCTGTTTCCAAAGGTTAAAAAGCAATTATGCTTCTACACTTTCAGATGAGAATTTGCAGCTTCTTGGCTTACCTAACTGATTTCAGAAACCATGGTTAAAATCCCAGAGAACATCTAGCCCTACTTGTTAGGCTGATGGCTGCTGTGACGTTTGTGCAGCCTGCATCCCTTAACCTTAAACTTTCCAGGGATGCATTATAACTGAGTCTAGTTCATCACGTTCCATATGGGATGAATGCTTTCCTAGAGATGAGGAAACTGCGCACAGTCAGTGCTCACTGTGTGTTGATAATAGGTAACCGTGTTTTGGTTGTGGACATACACAAAGCCCCACAAAGAGGAAAGTAGTTGTCCCCCAACCAACAGCCACATCCAAGCATCACAGAATAGCACGAGCTTCAGGGCAAAGGCAGGTAGAGAACCACAATATTGTGGCATTATTCCCTCCTGTCACTCAAACTTCTTCACTTAGAAAATGTAAACTTTCTTCAGAATTAAAGAGGTGGAGGACCCATGGCTTCCACTTACATTTAAAATAGCCTCTCAATTCAAGGCTTTTACAGCTATTAAGCTAATGTTAGTACAGTGCTTCTGACTTACAAATGCAGAGAGCTAAATAACTGCATGTGTAATATGATTAAAAGCAACAGGAAGCAAAATGTCAGGGTAGAAAAAAACACAAATCCTATATCTCATTGTTCTTCTGACATGCTTGCTCTGTTGCACAGGTGTCATTAATCCCAGGGAACTGACCTGTAATTTCTTTAATCATAATCACCGAGTATTATATTAAATAGCTCTGAGGGTAGGATTTTCTTTTCTCCTAATGTGTAGTGAAAAGGATTTCTGCAATCTGGACATTATGCACAGACTATGGTGGCAGTTGTGTGACAACTTGAAGATAAAATGTGACTGTGTTGAGAATGTTGAAGTGAATAGATGGAAAGAACCTGAGTCCCTACTATGGTCACTGAGTCACTGGATCAAAGCTGGAACTGCCTACCTACTACCAACACACTGACATGTAAAATAATTAAATATCTGTATTGATTAAGTATTGCTGTTTGCAGCCCAGGTCATTTGAAATTGAGATATAACCATAGGTCAAAAATTTTGTTTTAGTTTTTGGTTTAGAAAATATCAATGTAAATTTTGGTTAATCAGTAAGTCATCAAAATATTTTTTGGAAGAGATTTCCTGCAAGTTCCTTTCTCTCCATTCACATTGTCACCTTATGTGATATGTGGATCAAAACCTGTTTGGGACTAAGAATCTTTTTCATAAGGAAGCTTAATATTAATTTTTATTTTAGAGACATTATAGACAACAAATGAGGAAAATATAAAATAATACTTATTGATCAATTTGTATATATCAGGAGCTTTTATTCTTAACTTCCTCATAAATAATAATTGTTGTTGTTGTTATTACAATAATTATAATTAGAAATGGGGAAACTGAAGCCCAGAAATGTTATGAAACAATATGTCCAAAGTCTCTTTAATAGGAGTCAGGGTCAGGACAAGTCCCATAATCTTTTTTTTTTTTTTTGAGACTGAGTCCCTCTCTCACCCAGGCTGGAGTGCAATGGCATGATCTTGGCTCACTGCAACCTCCATCTCCTGGGTTCAAGTGATTCTCCTGCTTCAGCCTCCCAAGTAGCTGGGATTACCACCATGCTCGGCTAATTTTTGTATTTTTACTAGAGACAGGGTTTCACCATGTTAGCCAGGCTTGTCTCGAACTCCTGACCTCAAGTGATCCGCCCGCCTCGGCCTCCCAAAGTGCTGGGATTACAGGCGTGAGCCACTGGGCCCAGCCAAGTCCCATAATCTTAAGGCAATGACTCCATTCTTTCCTCCTTACCCAAACCCTCCCTCCCCCACATTCTTACAGAACTTGGCTTATTCTATTCATGAAACTCTTTACATATTGTCTTTCAATATAGATATTTGTATAGATGAATGCACGTAATCATTGGCAATATAATGAATATACAGTCCAAAGCTTATTTACCTACCTTTATTTATTTGCATACCTTTTTTTTTTTTTTTTCAGTTTGAGCCCTTGAGAACAGGGACTGTGGACCTGAGAAATTATGCCTGCACACTGAGGTTCCAGTAACTTGAGTGCCTGGTGCTTGATGAGAAACTTACATTCCTATTAGGAAAAGTGTAAGTTTATAACCATTTCTCGGAGTTAGAGTTTTTATAATAAAAATGTTATTAAAATAAAGATTGAAGTCATTAATTTTAAAAACTAAAAACCTTAGTGGATGACAAAGGTAAAGAGTTGGGGATAAAATATTTTGCGAAATTGAGTTATTGTTTCACCATTAAAAGTGATAGGGTATAGAATAATATGTTTTTGAATAAGACTGTGAGTAGGAATTTGCCATGTTATAGGTTCTATAAAACTCTTGGTACCCTAAGGACATCTCACAGATGGTAATGGTTATTATCACCCATAAAAGTACCAGTGATGAGATCATCAGAATACTGTCCAATCTAAATCTTAGTAAAATAAAAAGTATTAACTAATATAAAAGCAAAGTACATGAAAGTTAATTATATTCATCTGCCAGAAAGTTTAATATACATATACAAGTATTACTTATAATAACAACTGGGCTTAAATAGGGTAAAGGCTCAAAATATTTTTCATCTCATTCCTTTGAAAAGTACCGATTTTATTTTAGGTAGATGAACATAAGAAAGGAATAAAAAACACCCTCCACTTTAATACTCAGGTACTTTTCAAGAACCATCTAGCTGTTGTTCTAACTGCCTAAAAATAAAAATGATTTAGGAGTAAGAAAGTTTGAAACAATCTTTAAGTCAAGTAGTATATAAAAGCAATTACAGGGGGTAACATGTTCTACGCTATGTGGAGAAAACTGTATAAAAATGTCCAAATAGTAGCAATAAAAAGACAATAAACTTCATCCTCATGACCAGTCAGGAAATGAAAGATCTTTGTACAGGCTATGCTTTGAAAAAGTTAAAAGTGCTCATGAGTTAAAGACATTGCTGATCATTACAGCTTCCTAGAAAGGATAAGGGGGGGAAGGTATATACAACATAAAAGTAGTCGTTTTATAACTTTTTTTCCATTTCTTTGTACATGGGATTTCATGAGGAAAATAAAAGGCACATGGGGTTTGTTCTCATGTTTAGGTGCAAGCAAGCTCTGTACAAAAGTGACAGTGTAGTCACACATCCTTGTCCTCCTTTATCATATTTTCTGCACTTATACTTCCCTTTTGTGTTGTACCCTCTGCCTCTGCATGGTGCGAAAGCTTCTCTTTGTAGATCCCACCTGTACCTGTCTCCCAAGAACAACTCTATGTCTTTGTCTTCTCTATTCCTGTCTTTCCCTAGCAGCATTAACCTACCCCGAACTCCATTCTCTTAGTCTTGCTAAGTAACTTGCCAAAAGGATAAATCATATAAGCCAAATATGTCTCTCACTGATAATAGCAAAATGTGTTATCCAACCTAGAAGACATTTCATTTTTTTTTTTTTTAATTTTTTTTTTTTTATTATACTCTAAGTTTTAGGGTACATGTGCACATTGTGCAGGTTAGTTACATATGTATACATGTGCCATGCTGGTGCGCTGCACCCACTAAAGTGTCATCTAGCATTAGGTATATCTCCCAATGCTATCCCTCCCCCATCCCCCGACCCCACCACAGTCCCCAGAGTGTGATATTCCCCTTCCTGTGTCCACGTGATCTCATTGTTCAATTCCCACCTATGAGTGAGAATATGCGGTGTTCGGTTTTTTGTTCTTGTGATAGTTTACTGAGAATGATGGTTTCCAATTTCATCCATGTCCCTACAAAGGACATGAACTCATCATTTTTTATGGCTGCATAGTATTCCATGGTGTATATGTGCCACATTTTCTTAATCCAGTCTATCATTGTTGGACATTTGGGTTGGTTCCAAGTCTTTGCTATTGTGAATAGTGCCGCAATAAACATACGTGTGCATGTGTCTTTATAGCAGCATGATTTATAGTCCTTTGGGTATATACCCAGTAATGGGATGGCTGGGTCAAATGGTATTTCTAGTTCTAGATCCCTGAGGAATCGCCACACTGACTTCCACAATGGTTGAACTAGTTTACAGTCCCACCAACAGTGTAAAAGTGTTCCTATTTCTCCACATCCTCTCCAGCACCTGTTGTTTCCTGACTTTTTAATGATTGCCATTCTAACTGGTGTGAGATGATATCTCATAGTGGTTTTGATTTGCATTTCTCTGATGGCCAGTGATGATGAGCATTTCTTCATGTGTTTTTTGGCTGCATAAATGTCTTCTTTTGAGAAGTGTCTGTTCATGTCCTTCGCCCACTTTGAATCTCACTCAAAGCCACTCAACTACATGGAAACTGAACAACCTGCTCCTGAATGACTACTGGGTACATAACGAAATGAAGGCAGAAATAAAGATGTTCTTTGAAACCAACGAGAACAAAGACACCACATACCAGAATCTCTGGGACGCATTCAAAGCAGTGTGTAGAGGGAAATTTATAGCACTAAACGCCTACAAGAGAAAGCAGGAAAGATCCAAAATTGACACCCTAACATCACAATTAAAAGAACTAGAAAAGCAAGAGCAATCACATTCAAAAGCTGGCAGAAGGCAAGAAATAACTAAAATCAGAGCAGAACTGAAGGAAATAGAGACACAAAAAACCCTTCAAAAAATCAATGAATCCAGGAGCTGGTTTTTTGAAAGGATCAACAAAATTGATAGACCGCTAGCAAGACTAATAAAGAAAAAAAGAGAGAAGAATCAAATAGACACAATAAAAAATGATAAAGGGGATATCACCACCGATCCCACAGAAATACAAACTACCATCAGAGAATACTACAAACACCTCTACGCAAATAAACTAGAAAATCTAGAAGAAATGGATACATTCCTCGACACATACACCCTCCCAAGACTAAACCAGGAAGAAGTTGGATCTCTGAATACACCAATAACAGGCTCTGAAATTGTGGCAATAATCAATAGTTTACCAACCAAAAAGAGTCCAGGACCAGATGGATTCACAGCCGAATTCTACCAGAGGTACAAGGAGGAACTGGTACCATTCCTTCTGAAACTATTCCAATCAATAGAAAAAGAGGGAATCCTCCCTAACTCATTTTATGAGGCCAGCATCATTCTGATACCAAAGCCGGGCAGAGACACAACGAAAAAAGAGAATTTTAGACCAATATCCTTGATGAACATTGATGCAAAAATCCTCAATAAAATACTGGCAAACCGAATCCAGCAGCACATCAAAAAGCTTATCCACCATGATCAAGTGGGCTTCATCCCTGGGATGCAAGGCTGGTTCAATATACGCAAATCAATAAATGTAATCCAGCATATAAACAGAGCCAAAGACAAAAACCACATGATTATCTCAATAGATGCAGAAAAAGCCTTTGACAAAATTCAACAACCCTTCATGCTAAAAACTCTCAATAAATTAGGTATTGATGGGACGTATTTCAGAATAATAAGAGCTATCTATGACAAACCCACAGCCAATATCATACTGAATGGGCAAAAACTGGAAGCATTCCCTTTGAAAACTGGCACAAGACAGGGATGCCCTCTCTCACCGCTCCTATTCAACATAGTGTTGGAAGTTCTGGCCAGGGCAATCAGGCAGGAGAAGGAAATAAAGGGTATTCAATTAGGAAAAGAGGAAGTCAAATTGTCCCTGTTTGCAGACGACATGATTGTTTATCTAGAAAACCCCATTGTCTCAGCCCAAAATCTCCTTAAGCCGATAAGCAACTTCAGCAAAGTCTCAGGATACAAAATCAATGTACAAAAATCACAAGCATTCTTATACACCAACAACAGACAAACAGAGAGCCAAATCATGAGTGAACTCCCATTCACAATTGCTTCAAAGAGAATAAAATACCTAGGAATCCAACTTACAAGGGATGTGAAGGACCTCTTCAAGGAGAACTACAAACCACTGCTCAAGGAAATAAAAGAGGACACAAACAAATGGAAGAACATTCCGTGCTCATGGGTAGGAAGAATCAATATCGTGAAAATGGCCATACTGCCCAAGGTAATTTACAGATTCAATGCCATCCCCATCAAGCTACCAATGACTTTCTTCACAGAATTGGAAAAAACTACTTTAAAGTTCATATGGAACCAAAAAAAGAGCCCGCATCGCCAAGTCAATCCTAAGCCAAAAGAACAAAGCTGGAGGCATCACACTACCTGACATCAAACTATACTACAAGGCTACAGTAACCAAAACAGCATGGTACTGGTACCAAAACAGAGATATAGATCAATGGAACAGAACAGAGCCCTCAGAAATAATGCCGCATATCTACAACTATCTGATCTTTGACAAACCTGAGAAAAACAAGCAATGGGGAAAGGATTCCCTATTTAATAAATGGTGCTGGGAAAACTGGCTAGCCATATGTAGAAAGCTGAAACTGGATCCCTTCCTTACACCTTATACAAAAATCAATTCAAGATGGATTAAAGATTTAAATGTTAGATCTAAAACCATAAAAACCCTAGAAGAAAACCTAGGCATTACCATTCAGGACATAGGCGTGGGCAAGGACTTCATGTCCAAAACACCAAAAGCAATGGCAACAAAAGCCAAAATTGACAAATGGGATCTAATTAAACTAAAGAGCTTCTGCACAGCAAAAGAAACTACCATCAGAGTGAACAGGCAACCTACAACATGGGAGAAAATTTTCGCAACCTACTCATCTGACAAAGGGCTAATATCCAGAATCTACAATGAACTCAAACAAATTTACAAGAAAAAAACAGACATTTCATTTTAATGGCTTATGCCAAAAAGAAAATAACAAGGCCAAAAGAGGAAAATTCCGTAGCTTTGTTTGAAATTTTTTTCAATTAAACTTTCTTACTCAGATTCCTAAACCCTCCCTAATTCAACGAAATCTCGACTTTTTAGTCTCATCAACTAGTTCCACGTGAAAACACTAGATGTTAGAGTCTGAGATCTCCCTACCTGAAAAGATGCTTTCATATAAACACACACACACACACACACACACACACACGCACGCACATGTTAAAATTTAATAAACTGAGTCTTTAAGCCGAAGTAGAAATTTTCTGTGATTGTATTTGTTTTTTATTTTTGCATAAAAAATTACTGCAAACATAGCAACTTTAACCAGCATCCATTTATGAGCTCAGAGTTCTGTAGGTCAGAAGTCTGGGCAGGCCCAATTGAGTTCTCTGCTTAGGGTTTCCTAAAGCTAAAATCAAAGTGTCAGTTTAGGCTCTTCTTTGGAGTCTCTGGGGAAGAATTCCTTCCAAACTCATTCATACTGTTGGCATAATTCCATTCCTTGTGGTTATGATGGAGATCTCCATTTCCCTGGAGGCTGTCACTTAGGGAACCACTCTCAGCCCTTAGAGGCCACTCTCAGCTCCTTCCCCTGGGGCTGTCTCCATCTCAACAACAGACAGCTTCCTGCACATTCCTTCTCTCTCTTGCTTTACTCTCTGACTTCCTCTTCTGCTACCAGCCAGAGAAAACTCCCTTCTTTTAAAGGGCTCATGTGTTTAGGTTAGGTCCACCTGGAAAGCTTTCCTGTCTTCAGGTCAACTAATTACTAACCTCAGTTACTCTGGAAAATCCTTTTTTTGCCACGTGAGGTAACATAATTTCAGGAGTAACACCAGGGGGCAACGTTCATTGGGACCATCTTAGAATTCTATCACAGTGATCTTACAGAAATTTGCTTACAACACTTTTATGGTCTTCTTCATTTTTGCCTTTTAGTGTAGGTGATTTTTGTATATGTCTTGGCTCTCTCTACTAGAATGATAACAACTTAAGAGCAGAAAAGATGTTTTTGTTCTCCAAAAATTACTTTGGGATAGAGCTGAGACACACAAAAAAAGAGGGTGCTGAATTTCTTATGTCAAATCAGGCAGCAAAGATGTAAGTTACAATATAGCTAGAGAATTCAGATTCCATCTATGGAAATCAAATAATACAAAGTTGAAAATGTAGGTAAAGATGAAACTTGACAGACACATGATAAATTGAGTTGTGAAACTAAATTGTATCCCAGTTGAGATCTACAAGCTTGGAGTGTGCCAGGGATGAAGCAACTAAAACCAGATTATAGGAGGAGACTTGGAAGGTATTATTTGGTGGCTTAGGAAGTACCATTCTTTAAGTAACACCTAGATAGTGTCCCCAGGCCACAGTCCCTACCCCAACCTGAGTTGGTAACCTTCTGATGATCCCAAGTTTTACACAAGTAACCACAGCAGGCCCTTGATGATGGTTACTTGGGTAACCATCCTCTTAGTTGGGTAACTAAGTGTCCAACTCCAGGAAGTATAGATTTAAGTGGAATTGATTTTTGCATGTGTAAGCTATTTTATAGTCATTGTGTTGCTTCATATATGCTTTATCTGCTTTAAGATGTTTGAAATGGATAAGAGAATCTGCTTTATTAAATTTGTCTAATTTATTAAATTTATTAGATTTTCACAAAGATTGCAAATATCTTGCATGTTAGACTTGTAAGTTTGCTTAATAGGTGTTTGAATTATTTGGGAGAACTGGTTTTCAAATTGGTAATAATTGTTTGAAATGTCTAAAAATATCTAGTTAATAAAGTTTCTATATACTGTTAACATTTGAGAGATCTGATCCATAAAATTTATAAACTAATTGAGCATTAATTAAATAACAAATGAAGTTAAGTGCTTAAAATTCTTACACCATTATTAGATTTGCAAATATAGCAACAAGATTTGTGAGTTAAAAGTAAAGGCTTATAAAAACTAAGTTATAAAATTTATACCTTTTGTCAGTTCAACATTAACACAATCATAAGAAACTATCAGCATTAACTTCTGTGCAAGAAAAAAAGTCACATTTTGGGAACTAAAAACCCAATTACCATTATTAAACACTGAAGAGCAATATAACTGAAATGGAGATGAATCATCATAGCTATCATTTATTAGTTCCAACCACATAACAGTTCTGTGATAAGCTCTGCATTTGTGAGTTTGTTCATTTGTTTGTTTTTGAAGGTCAGAGATAATATAACTAAAGTATCTTGCCTCTTAAGTATATGTTAAACTGAACTGACAATCTTTTTAAATCTAAAAATATTACTTCACATACCAATCACAGTTCCTTTGCTCACAGGTAACAGAAAATCGGTCTAACTGTTTAAATCATAATAACAGCAACAACAGTAATAATATAAAGATTTTGTGGTTCAAGTAATTTAAGAAACCCAGAAATGGAAGGAGGTGTACTACTTACTTGGATCTCCCTTCAAAAAAGAACAAACTATCCACGTGTGCAGGATGCCGGTAACTGACAGCCGCCAGCCAGTGGGCATTAAGGGTCCTCTACAGTGTTGAGTTGGAACAACAGTGTTGAGCTTTCTCGACAGCCCTGGCGAATAAGTACAGTGGGAGTACTAGTGTCTGGGCATTTCCGCCCATTGTCATACTCTTCCAACAAGCAGCTTTTGCTCTAGATCTCCCTTTGGTGCTGGCAGAGACTTTATGAAATCTGCATCACAGTTTGAGGCCCTTCCTGCCCAATCCTGCGGGGTTTCCCTTTGTTTTCACAGGTGTCAGGCCTGGATCAAGGTCTGAAGGGTTTTGCTGCCCATATATTTCCTGTGCCTTGCTTTTATCTTTCACAAACATTACCTCAATAAAGCTTGGACACTGGTAATTCCATCTCCATATCTGCTTACCAGATGACCCTTCAGGTAAGCTTGCTCCAGCAGTTTAATGATGTCCCAGGACCGACTTCCTTTCTGTGTCTCAGCCTTCCCCAGTGGCAGAATAGCCCTAAAACTATTTTGATAGCTTCACCATATCAACATAGTTACCAGAACAACTGGGGTGGTTGCTTCCTGATTCACAACCAGTGGATGAAGGGAGCATCTTTTTTTAGCATCCATGAAAGACAGAATAATTTTATTCTCCAGATGCTCCCCATCAAACATCTTCTCTCTTTTTGACAAAGTTTGGATCATAATGCCATCCCAACCACTGTAACTAGGGCCCATCCCTGGAGCTGCTGTGAGATTAGTCCCAACCAATCTGCATGTCCCCATCAGAAAGGGAACAGAGAGAATGAATGCTGGGGAGGCAATCACTAAATTTCCATGACTACGAACATAAGCATCCTCAAACAATATCACACCACGGAATTAGTCTCATGAAGACACCGCTGCTACTAACAATGTGTATAGAAATTGGAGCATAAACCACTAAGAATACAGGCTGTAGAGGCCAGAAACCATTGGAACTGCACCGCTGCAGTTTCTGGAAGCTGAATGTCCTGTTGCTTCTGTTCCCGGTGTTGCCAGAGTAGACTCTGTAGAGTTCTTCCTTCTTCAAGTCACTGTATTTAATTCAAACACGAGCTGGTGCATCCTGCAGGCAGAGCCTACAGCTTGAGCCAATGTACTGGTTTCAGGAGAAGCAAGGGAGAAACTGTCTATTTCATCCCAGAGTGGGAGAATGTCACCTGTGGCATCACATGCAGAAGATTCCAGATTCTGGATTCTTTTGCGTTTGCTTTAGTTCTGCTAAAGTCTCCTGTGTATGATCCTCAGAAAGACATATGAGGGTTTTCCTCAGAACCTAAATTCTGTGAGTAAAGAATGCACTAGTGCTGAAACATTTGGGGCAAGAACAAGCATCAGTCACAACCGTCAACAATCACTCTCAGTTTTAACTTCTTTGGGGAAGCTGGTTACCGTACTTAAAACACTTGTATTCCATTTTGTTTTGTTAGTAAGACAAAAATGTATTGCCTTTATTAATACCAAACCCGTAGACTTTATACAGAATAGTTGCACTATTACCTCACTATGCCTATAAACATTCATCCTGGAAAGATTAAATTTAGACCAGCAAATGTTTATTCAGCTCATAATAAATGCAAGACCTTGTGCTAGGCGCTGGGAGATGACAAATTTGTCTTAAATTGTCACTGTGGTGACTACTTAGTCATTATTTTAATTCCTTCATCATGGAAAAATTGGGTATTAACTATTCATGATCTACTTTTATATTTCACTGTCAATTTTCCATTATTTCCAATTCTACAGAACAGCTGCATAATCTTCACAATACATTTTTAGAGGTTAATCTTACTATAATTTCTCTTTTGTTCATATCACAAATATCATTTTGGAATCCAAGGCAATAGATTATTTGAATAGAAAATGCAGCTATTAAAGATGTAAATTATTCTTATACTCAAGTTATTACTATTATTTTTGTGACAAAGGAATGTTAGAAATTCACAAATGTTTGTGTATGTTTTAAGGGGATATACTGTTTATGCTTGCGTTTGATGCTAACATATTTAGTAAGTGTCAACAGCAGAGAAGCCTTATAAGAAAACATTGACCAGAGCTCTATTTTAATGCTACATTTGGCACAATCCTATACTATTTGAACTGGATAAAAAGGTAAAGGTCAGGACACATCTTTGAACTGAGCTTTGAATTGACTTTCATCTCCATATATTTGTCACTTTGTGACCCACATCAGTTTTTCCATATTGATTCTATATAGCCTTTTCATGTTATACTCGAATCTTTTCATTTCTCCATCTGAAACCAAATCTACCACATTTGATCACAGGGGTGATGAGGCTATACTTTTTACTTTTATTTTCATGGTGGTTAGCCATTACCTGGGTAAAGTTAGTAGTAACTACAGAAGAGGTAACAGTTAAGGCCTGCTTCTCTATAGTAAAACAGCCTGGGCCAGGCCTGGTGGCTCATGCCTGTAATCCCAGCACTTTGGTAGGCCGAGGCGGGTGGATCATGAGGTCAGGAGACTGAGACCAGCCTGGCTAACACGGTGAAACCCCATCTGTACTAAAAATACAAAAAATTAGACAGGCGTGGTGGTGGGTGCAGGTAGTCTCAGCTACTCGGGAGGCTAAGACAGGAGAATGGCGTGAACCTGGGAGGCGGAGCTTGCAGTGAGCCAAGATCATGCCCCTGCACTCCAGCCTGGGCGACAGAGTGAGACTCCTTCTCAAAAAAAAAAAAAAACAAACAAAAAAAACACCCTGGGTTTATCTGCACTAGCCATGTAATTTTAGGCATACCTAACCTCTGTAAGTCTTAGCTTTGATTCCTGAAAAAAAAACCCAAAAAACTAACAATAGTATATTTTCCACAGTTGACTGCTGGTGAGAATTAAGTAACATAATATATTTGAAGCTCTTTGGCTGGGTATGGTGTCTCATGCCTATAATCCCAGCACTTTGGGAGGCCAAGGCAGGAGGATCGCTTGAGGCCAGGAGTTCAAGACCAGCCTAGGTAACATAGTGAGACCCCCATCTCTATTTAAAGATGATGATGATAGATAGATGATGATAGATAGATAGATAGATAGATAGATAGATAGATAGATAGATAGATAGATAGATGGATAGATAGATAGATGACAGAGATGATAGATAGATTTCAAGCTTTGTCACACAGCCTGACAATTCATTTTTCTTGGGTAAATACCCATTTCTCTTTGGGTAAATACTTAGGAAATGGGTAAATATTTACCCATTTCTCTTGGGTAAATATTTAGGAGTATTTACCCATTTCTCTTGGGAGTATTTACCCGAGAGAAATGAAGGCATATGCCACCCAAAAACCTGTACACAATTTTTTAGCAGTTTTATTTATTATTGCCAAGAACTGGAAATAACCCAAATGTTCATCAACTGTTGAATGACCAAGCAAAATGTGATGTAGCTATACTATGGAATACCTCTCAGCAATAAAAACGAACAAACAACCAATAGACACAACAACATCAATGAACTTCAAAAGCATCTTGCTCAGTGAAAGAAGCCAGGCTCAAAGGTTACATATTTTAGGATTCTACTTATATGGCATTCTGGAAAAGGTAAAACTAGAAGGACCAAAAACAGTTCAGTGTTGCCAGAGTCTAGGGGTGGAGGTAGGAGACTGACCACAAAGGGGTACAAGTAAACTTTTCGGAGTGATGAAAATATTCTGTATTTTGATTGGGTACTAGTTACATGATGGCACATATTCATCAAAACTCATAGAACTGTACACTTTAAAAGGGTGCATTTTACTCCACGTAAATTATACCTTAAAAACCTGACATTTTAAAAAATCACTGATGATATCATTATATATTGATTAAACATTTTAAAAACATCCTCATGAACAGTGTGCCTAGCACTCAGTGACATTAATGTTAGTTGTTGTTGTTGTTACCATTGACTAAGGTGACAAAAGTATAGAAAAACAAAAATAAATTAGAAATAGTTTCATTTATTATAGAACCAAGATTAGGATCTAGTCAATGTAAGGGTCCAAAACTTTCGTTGATTCTATAAATTCAATATTTTAATTTAATCAAGTAAAATGTCTTGTGTACAATGTTGCTAAACAGTAATAATCATTACAAATAGCAATTCTGTTAAACAGATGTAAGCTGAATAATTAGGGCTGTGTGTGATACCACCTCAGATGCCAGAGTGACAAAGCCTTTCAGGAGTTATCAGGCTGCTTTTCCACCTGTCAGATGTGCACATCTAGAAAATCAATTTTTATCAATGCACTCTGAGATGATAACGTTATAGGAGACTGATTTACGTTAACGAATCTTAGAAGGCACTGATGTATAAACCCGATGTACAATGTGTCACTCAACAGAATGATAACTGCCACTTGGGTCACCACAGTACTGTGCGCTGATGTGATCATCACATTTTTTCCTTGTGGGCAGGTTTAAAGGGGGAGCCGAGCATTAATCAGCTTCCTCGGTGGGCAGGGGGTCAGAATAAGGAAGAGAAGTTAGTGTTAGAGGACACACAACCCAGGTCATAGTAAAAGTTCCACAAATCATTCCTGTTCCCATAATTCACCAGATTCAATGTCTTTCTTTATTAAACAATGTGGTATAGAAACCAATATAATCTTGTTGGTAACTCTCTTTTATGTAGATTTCATGTTCCTCACTCTTTAGTCTTTCTGCAGATCTGGTACATTACCATTGAGAGAATCAGCTTTCATGATGACAGTCACTTCTGTTCCTTCCTTCCTGAGATTTTGCCTTTATTGAATTTGGTGTTCCCAAGTCTCCTCCAATGCACACTTAATAGATATCATCTGATGTTACTTCTACAGATAATCTCATCCTTTCATGGATTGCTTTTGCTAGTTTAACAATCAAAGAGTGTTTTGGTTGCCTATTGCCCCATAACAAACCACTCCCAAACTTGGTGGTGTAAAATACCACCAATCATTTTATTATTAACTCCCACAAGTTTGGGAAGTTGCCTGAGCTCACTTAGGCGGTATTCACTCAGAGTGTCTCACACACTTGCTGTCAGACAATGGTTGACACTCAAATATTCTGAATGCTTGATGCTCACGTGGCTGGCATGTGGGCTGGGACCACTCAAACAGCTGGAATTTGGAACTTCTAGGGACCCTAGGAATGCTTCTTTGTCTCTGTGTGGTCTCTTCAGCATAGCAACAGCAGCGTAGCTGAACATCTTACGGATGGCCCAGGGCTCCAAAGGCTCGTTTCCTAAGTGAGAGAGAGCCTGGCTGAAGCTGTATTACCATTCATTCTCCAGCCTCCGAAGTCTCAAAGCATCACTTCCACCATACTCTAACTGTCAAGACAAACACAAAGGCCCAGGTAGGTTCAAAAAGAGGGGGAGTAGGCTCTGCTTCTTGATGCAGATGTGGCCAGGTTCTGGAGGAGAATGTGGGACAGGAAATATTATTGCAGTTCTGGAAAACACAATCTGCCATGAAAGGCAATCTCAACTTTCAGTTATTAGAGGACTGAGGGTATTTTATTACATACTAGTCAGATGCCTATTTTCAGGAGCACTGAATACTAAATATACGGCCCCTCAGCCCTGTGAGGTAGAGTGAAAGTTACAGGAACGGCAAATGAATAAATGAAGACATCAAGATGATTTACAAATTCATAAATTTCCCACAAAATATAATATATATATAACATAATATATATATTGGGATCTCTGACTCTGATCTAAATAGACAAATGTTTTTCAAAATGATACTTTGATTTAGAAAGAAGAATACACTATCGATGTTCCTTTTAAACAAGTATTTGAGTAAAAGCGATGTTTCCAATGTGTGTCAGAAAGTGAATACTTGTATATTTCCGCACGGTTAGAGCTGAGCTTTCCGAGCAAATTTTACTGGGACCCGGTTGAAAGACAGGTCTTGGAAGTGAAATGATGACTGACTAGATGGTAAGAGATTTTCCTTCCAGGAGGTTTGTGTTTTCATTTCAAGTGGGGGATGAGACCCAAAGCCTTTGAGACATTCCAGAGGTTGTAAACTCAGAGACGGTTGTGTCTTCTTTCCTCATGGAGACATGTATTTATATTTCAAAGAGCAGCAACCCAGAATCCTCCTTTTTTTCTCAAGGAGAATTTGTTTACATTAGGTAGATTCAGTTTGCTTCTCATCCTCAGAAGGGGAAATTTTATACACGCTCCCAGGTTCATATTTTTGGGGCTTCCTCACGACAGTACCAACCCCATTACATGTAGAGTGGCCTCCAGCTCTGTTCACATCACTCCAAAGGGAAGCATTGGGAAAAAGGGCAGCTGAGGAGATTGTTACTGTGAGTAACTAACAATCTCTCAGTCCCACAAATCTCATGTCTATATAAATACAGAAATCAAAAATTTATCAATATGAAAACAGTACAAAATATACCCAAATATGTCTATTTAAGTATATTATTTTGAATTCTCTTTTTCTTGCTGATAAATTTAGTGTTGCACTGGTTTTGCTCACAGAGGAAATTAGAATTCACTGAAGTTTCTTTATGTGTACAATTAAGGGGCTTGTAATATATTCACAGAGTTTTGCAGCCATCACCAGAGTCAATTTCAGAACATTTATATTCCCCCCCAAAATAAACCCCATATCCATTACCAGTCACTCTTCATTTCTCCCCACCCAGCTCCCAGCCCCAGGCAACCACTAACCTACTTTCTGTCTCTCTAAATTCTTCTATTCTAGACATTACATGTAAATGGAATCATACAATATGTGATCTTTTGTGACTGGCTTCTTTCACTTAGCATAACGTTTTCAAGGTTTGTTCGTGTTGTAGCAGGTATCAGTACTTTATTCCTTTTTATTTCTAAGCAATATTCCATTGTACAGATGTACTGCTTCTGTGTATTCATGCATCAGTTGATGGACATTTGGGCTGTTTTCACCTTTTATTATTGTGAATAATGCTGTTGTGTTATTCATGCATGTACAAGCTTTTGTGTGGACATATGTGTTTATTTCTCTTGGGCATATACCTAGGAGTGGAATTGCTGGATCAAATGGTAAATCTATATTTAACATTTTCAGAAACTGCCAGACTGTCTTCTGAAGTGGCTATAATATTTACACTCCCATCAGCAGTGTGTAAGTATTTCAGCTTCTCTACATCCTCACCGACACTTACTATGTCTTTTTTATAGCATCATTGTATTTTTTAGTTTGAATTGTTCATATACTATCTTACTTTTATTTGTATGCATTTTGCAACTTTAGTACAAAGCACCTTCACATAAACTCTTTGTTTCAATTGGTGTGTGAGATAGATATTATTTTCTCTAAAATCAAAAGGGTTGAATGTATTGCCCCAAGTCATATAATTAATAAATGGCCTAGCCAGAATATTCTTCAGCCTAGGTCTTCTAATTCAAACCCTCAGATATTTTTCCTTTTCTACCCAAATAGTCTGATCAAGTGATCATTTCTTTGGTCTTAGAGATGTGAGAAGGGAGGAAAAAAGCAACCAGTAGTAATCATGACTATTCTCTGTCTTCACATTTTGTCATTTGAGAATCAGCTACACATTTTCACCATCTCCTTCCATTCTACCCAATATCAGAAGGAACTTGATGAGGAATTTGCCTGTTGAGTAGTCACGTTACATGGAATGATCACCTTTTCTTCCCATCTTCATTGCCCCAGTTAAAGGAAAGATCGCTTTCAGTTTCTGAATACCCATGGAAGGACATGGTTATATTATGTCATATCATTATATCTGACCCAGTTTCTAAGGATCCAGTTGCTGATATAAATCCGAGGTTGGATCTTGCTTCATACATTACCTGGCTTAAATCTTCACCCAGCTTTCCAGGGGTTTCAACTGTATTAAATTTCCCTCTTTCTCGTTCTGAGAAAATGTTCTCATGAAAAAACAACAACAACCACCTCCTAATCTCCTTCCACTATCTTTGGGAATTTTGGAGGCCTGGTCCAGCAGGGTGTCTTCTGATCTGATGTTCAGATCATCTCCAGGCTCTGCTGTTCCTAGTGACTCCATCTCTGGCACCTCCTTGCACCAGTTGACAACTGCTCCAATCCTACCTTCTGTTTCTGGAGCTGCTTCTTCCCTCTGCTAGGCTTCAAAGGACCTTCTCCCACTCATCTGAGAAGGTTTGCATATGGTCCCAAAGTCTGTGCTTCTTAGGGTTCCACATTCTCTATTTTGCTGCCACCAGGGAAGATTTAAGGCAAGGTATCCCAGAGATGAACCAGGAAGCTACTCACTACAGTTCCACACATGGCACCAATGTGCCTCCTTCTGAAAGGAATCAGAATGTGCTTTCTCAAAGGAAGCCTCTTTGGCATCAGGATTATTTTGAGCTGAAGACAACTGAGAATCAGCAGATGCTAGACAAGTTCTCTGCCCTTCCCTTATGTGACTAAGGACAAGGCATAAATTTCCCATTGAGGAAGGTACCCTGACCCTGCACCCACCACCCTGTACCAGGAAGAGAAAAGGGAATCTTGTCATCAAAAATGGGGAGTCAATACCAAGATGAGTTTGCATAAACAGACCTTACTAAAATAGCTCTTATGTTCTGTCAGTTCCCCCCATATATTTCCTAGTCACTTCCCCGCAGTTTATCATCCCTTGAAGCCCAAACTCTCTTTCTTTTGTCAAGAAAGGAATACAAGTTTCCTGGTCAAACCACTTCTCTGAGCTTTACTTATTTTCTTTATCTCCTGTACACATAAAATATTAATACAAATTGTGTGTTTTTTCTCCTATTAACATGTCTTTTGGTAGTTTAGTATTTAGGCCCCCAGTTTCTGAACCTAAGAGAATAGAGAAAAAGCTTTTCTTTCCTGATGCTTCACTAATGACAACCTTATGTCCAGAAAGGGAAAATCACCTTTAAATTTATCCATATCAGGGTACTTTCCCTAGGGACTAAAAGATAGTCTTTGATATCTCCTCTTTACCTGGACGTCTTAATCCAAGGGGCCATGATTATAGGTCCTGAAGTCCTTTTGACTGGACCTATCATGGGGGTAGAAAAGCCTTACTTCCCAGAGAAGACAGGCACAGACCCAGTAGGGATCAGTGTGCCTATTTCATGTCAATATAGTATGAGATTAAAAGTTTGATGGAGTCAGAAATTTTTTATTTGTCTCTTCCACAGTGCCTTTTTAATAAGTGTCAGTTGAATTGAATTCTATTAATCCACAAAGATCCAATTTAAAGACAATGAAACTCTCTGGCCTGCTTAATTTAGTTTGCATCTCACCATTTACAGGAACTACTTGTGCTAGAGACCACAATTCAGAAATGGAGTATTTTGCTATTTATGTCAGTAGGCAAAGGCACACCATTGCCCTGCCCCTGAGTGGGCCTATTTATTTTATTGTTGTTATTATCATTATTATTATTGTTATTATTTAGACAGAATCTTGCTCTGTCGCTCAGGCTGGAGTGCAGTGGCATGATCTCAGCTCACTGTAACCTCTGCCTCCTAGGTTCAAGCGATTCTCCTGCCTCAGCCTCCCGAATAGCTGGGATTACTGGCGCCCACCACCACACCCAGCTAATTTTTGTATTTTTAGTAGGGACCATGGATCTATAATCACCATGTTGGCCAGGCTGGCCTCAAACTCCTGATCTCAGGTGATCCGCCTGCCTTGGCCTCCCAAAGTGCTGGGGACCTATGTTTTAAGGACATTTGAGGCAGGAAAGAAAGCCCAATGATTTAAAACCTTCACATGTAACCACTACATTTTCTCTAATCTTTGAAAGTAAATCATGAGCTTTTGTCAGTCCCACTTTCACTAGGTTTTCAGGCAAGGCTGTGGATCTGAGCTACAGAGACAGTGAAATGAGGCAGGGCTAACAGGTTTTTCTCATTACCGTTATAGTAGTAGCAACACAATTACAGTCATGCACCAAATAAAAATGTTTTGGTCAACAATGGTATACAATGATGGTCCTATAAGTTTATAATGGAGCTGAAAATTTCCTATCACCTAGTGATGTGGTAGCCATTGTAATGTCATAGCGCAACACAGTACTCATGTGTTTGTGGTAATGCTGGCGTTTGTTTATAACAAACCTACTGTACTAATAGCACATACAATTATGTACAGTATATAATACTGGATAATAAATAGCTATGTTACTGGTTTATGTATTTACCGTGCTAAACTTTTTATTGTTACTTTAAAGTGTACTTTTGCTTTTTTTGTTGTTTTTTAGAGAAGGGGTCTCACTATGTTGTCTGGAGTGCTGTGGTGGAGTGGAGTGGCTATTCACAGGTAAGATCATAGCCAACAACAGCCTTGAACTCCTGGGCTCAAGCAATCCTCCTGCCTCAGCTTTCTGAGTAGCTGGGACAGGCAGGCACCACTGTGCCCAGCTACTTATTTAAAAAAAGTTAACTGTAGCCGGGCGCAGTCGCTCACGCCTGTAATCCCAGCACTTTGGGAGGCTGAGGTGGGAGGATCACCTGAGGTCGGGAGTTCGAGACCAGTCTGTCCAACATGGAGAAACCCCATCTCTCCTAAAAATATAAAATTAGCTGGGCGTGGTGGCCCATGCCTGTTATCCCAGTACTTGGGAGGCTGAGTCAGGAGAATTTCTTGAACCCGGGAGGCGGAGGTTGCAGTGAACCGAGATCGCGCCATTGCACTCCAGCCTGGGCAACAAGAGTGAAACTCTGTCTCAGAAAAAAAAAAAAAAATGCTTACTGTAAAACAGCCTCAGGCATGTCAGGTATTCTAGAAGAAGGCATTGTTATCATAGGAGATGACAGCTCCGTGTGTGTTACTGCCCCTGAAGACCTTCCAGTGGGACAAGATGTGGAGGTGGAAGACCATGATATTGAAGATCCTGTCCCTGTGTAGGCCAAGGCTAGTGTGTGTGTTTGTGTCTCAGTTTTTAACAAAAAAGTTTAAAAGGTAAAAAATGTAAAAATAGAAAAAAGCTTACATAATAAGGCTATAAAGAAAATATATTTGTGCAGCTGTACAAAGTGTTTATGCTTTAAGCTGTGTTATTACAAAAGAGTCAAGTTTTAAAAAATTAAAACGTTTATAATGTTAGGAAGTTAGAGTAAGCTCATTTTATTATTGAAGAAAGAATTTTTATTATAAATTTAGTGTAGCCTAAGTGTATAGTGCTGATAAAGTGTACAGCAGTGTATAATCACGTCTTAGGCCTTCACATTCACTCATCAGTCATTCACTGACTCACCCAGAGCAACTTCCAGTCTTGCAAGTTCCATTTATGGTAAGTGCCCTATAGAGGTGTACCACTTTCAATCTTTATTTTATTTTATTTTTTGAGACAGAGTTTCATTCTTGTTGCCCAGGCTGGAGTGTAATGGTGCAATCTCGTCTCACTGCTACCTCCGCCTCCCGGGTTCAGGAGATTCTCCTGACTCAGCCTCTTGAGCAACTGGGATTACAGGCACCCGCCACCACGCCTGGCTAATTTTTGTATTTTTAGTAGAGACGGGGTTTCACCATGTTGGCCAGGCTGGCCTCAAACTCCTGACCTCAGGTGATCCACCTGCCTTGGCCTCCCAAAGTACTGGGATTACAGGTGTGAGCCATCGCACCCAGCCCATTTGAAATCTTTATAGCATATTTTTATTGCACCTTTTCTATGTTTAGATATGTTTACAGACATAAATACTTACCATTGTGTTTTAGTTGCCTATAGTATTCAGTACAGTAACATGCCATACAGGTTTGTAGCCTAGGACCAATAGGCCATACCATTTAGCTTTAAGCAACATGTGACTGTACTTGATAAGTCCCAACATAGGGCCAGCACAGGAGGCTACTCAACTGGTTCCCCTGATATGCATGAAAGATGATACCCTATGAATAAGTAAAATTGTACTGAACTGAGAAAGTCCATCCTGTGTTGATTCTATCCTCAAATGTAAGCTGCCCTCCAGCAAATTACATAGACATTCAAGCAGGAAAGCCAGTTAAATATCAATCCTCAGAGAACAGTGATGTTTCCTGAATAAATTACCTTACCTCTTAGCAACACTCAGTTTTTTCCCCTTGACTCAATTCTCACCCACTGAGATACGATGATGCTCAGATCAGATAATGTAATGTGGCTGCCTGGATGAAAGTAAAATCCCCTCACAGAGGGGCATTTACACTGGTGAACTCACATAACGAATGGTAACTGCACTTTAATTGGTCTCCACTGTTTAAATTCACAATTACTTTTGATTAGGATATGTTTACAGCAAGATGAGAGACTAAGTAATCCCACAAAGGAAGATATATATTATTCACATTTGTCTGAAAAATTAAATATACTTTCAGAATTATTCACAACCTGATATTTCAGCAAAGCTAATTGTTCCCAGAATGGTGTTCAGCAATTACAAAATAAAGACAGGAAAGGAAATATCCACATTATAGGTTATTTCAATGACTTGGGAATTTTCTCATATGTAACATTTATAGACATTTCCATTTAGCCCTAGTTTAAGTCACTTATTAACAGATATAAGAAGAAAATTAAAAAGAAGGAAGGAACAGAAGACTTTTTCTTTTCAAGGTAGCTATAGAGATTGTGTCACCCTAAAGAGTCAAGCTTAGGGAGGAAATTAATTTATTCAAAACACATTTGTTGAACTGCTAGGGATAAAAATTGGTGCAACCTACTTTGGAAAACTGGTGATTTCTATGAAAGTTGGAAATATGTGAAACCTATTATTTATCAATTTTTGCCTTAGAAATGCAAATATATGTGCACCAAAATACATTGTTAAGAAAAACTGATGGAAGGCCCTTAGGCTGAATTGGCTCGACTGCCTTGGGTCTTTTACATAAGCAAGCAAAAGCCCAACTCAATGTAAACAGTAAAATGAAACTTAAGCTTAACTAATCAGAAACCACCAAACTAACCTCTAACTAAGGACTTTCCACTTTAACCAGTCAAATATATTTTCTTGGTGTTGCTTCCAAGAACACCTTATAAAAGCTTCCCCCTCATGTCCTGTGAGTAGAGCCCAACTGCTTGTGTTCTGATGCTGCCCAATTCATGAATGGTTGTCTGCTCAAATAAACCCTTCAAAATTTTAATGTGTCTAAATTTATCTTTTAACAACATGTGTCAGAATGTTTATAGCAACACTATTAACACTATTGATAATAGTCCAAAACTAAAAACCTAGAGGTCCAAGAACAATTGACTGGATAAATTATGGTGTATTTATACAATAGAAAGTGATCAAGCTAGGAAAATAAACTACAGCCATACACCCAAAAATACTTAGATGAATCTTACAAACATAATGGCTTATGAAACAAGGAAACACAAAATGATGCAAAATTGTATTATTCCATTTACATAAAGCTCAAAAATAGGCAAAATGAATGTATGGCATTAGGACTCAAGATAGGTGTTAGCTTCGAGCAAGTGAGAGGCATTGAAAGAAAACATAAGGAGTGCTTCCAGGGCTCTGCAAATGTTCCATTCTTTGATCCAGAGTGCTGGTTACATGGGTGTGTTTACTGTCAGAAATCAACTGAGCTGTACATGTATGACTTGTGTAATTTTCTACATTGGGTAATGTTAATTTAAAATTTTACATTAAAAAATAAACCAAACAATTTTGTATATGCTGGGTACTGAGTGACAGAAGAAAATAATGAAGACAGAGCCCTGTAGCAGCTCACAGCCTTGAGAGGAGACTGGCATTCAAGGATGAGATTTTAAATAATAGTGAGTCACTGAGAGATAGTGTGGCAGCTCCAGAGCAGGGGCCTTGAAGTGGGCAATAGGAGTAGGGAAAGAAATCAGGAAAGATTCCTGAGGGAGGTGAGGTCCATCTGATGCTGAAATGACAACCAGGAATTATATGGTCTAATAAAGCCAGTAAGGTAGCTATAAAGGGGGAAATCCTGAGGGGCCCCTGAAAACAGGGAATATAGAGGAGCCTGTTAGTTCTAAAATGGGGGTTTTAACGTTTTTGCAAGGTCTTTGACTGTGTCTCAGTTAATAATAGATGAAATCTTGAAAGTTTCTGCCTGAGAATTAAGATCACCTATATCAACACCATTGTAAACCTACATGGGATATGGCACCATTTTTTAATTTCCTCCTCTTTTCCCTACTAAGAGATTACATCTCTTTTAATCACTAACTACTCCACAATGTTTACACAGAAATATGCACCTATGGACTTGAGTTTTGTAGGATTTATTTAAAGCCAGTGAGCTTAAGTCCTTCTAAGGGAAAAAGCATTCCACATTATGAGCATCTCAAGAACTTACAGCAAATTGCTGTCCTTTTGCAATTTGATTTATAATTGAATTAACCAACCTCTTGCATGGGTGACCTTAGCTTGTTCTCTGCAGCCTCTACCTGCTGGCTCAGTTTCAAAAGACTGTTTGATGAGCAGCTCCTTGAGAGGAACCAGAAAACATCCCACCCACAGTGCTTGTTAAGGGAGCTTGACCTGAAGCCCAGAAATTAAGGTTTTAATATTCTTATCTCAAGAAAAAGGAGATACTTAAAAATAAAGTGCTCCTCTTAAATACTCAGATACTAAGGCTTCTACACTCCAACACAATAGGGTTTCTTTCTTGGGAGTTGCTGAGTCATGCTCATCCATTCCTTTTTTCAGGAACTAAACTAGAATATTTGACAAAATCCTTTAATTCTTGTTCACATGCACCTCCCCTCCCCCATAAGGCTTGGGGTGCCTACTCAAATTAAGTCCCAAAGACTGATCACTTGGGTATCCCAGTTCTTCCAAGTAATTATGCAGATTTGGCTGCAATATGTCCCTGGGTCAAAGCTATATATTGAAAAAGAGCAAGCTATATCACCAAGAAGGAGATGGGATTTGCAAAATCCCTTCTCTAGAGGAGAAGTCATAAACTGAAGTCTTGGGATAAGGCAGAGGGGGGAGGAAGAGGTGGAAAAGCTGATCTGAATCTGTCAAAATCTTGCTCAGTGTTGCTTAGGATGAGGGAGGCAAGTGCAACAGAGCCACACTCCAAAGAAACCCAGAAGTGGAGAGTTGTGGTACTCAAGAAGATAAGTATTATCAGGATCACACACAGGAGAAGCTGGGTAGACAGCATCCACTGGGCTCAGGCAAATCTGCTGTGAATACCATAGCACTGCTGCTTTCCCACTGGGCCCAGGACTTGACAGTGCTGAGAGGCTTCTCCATGCACCATGACACGGTAGTCAGGTAGTCAGGGGCAGAACAGCAAGCAGTACCAGGGAGTCCCAATTCCCTGCCTAGGGCTTTGCCTGGGCCAGTGGGATTTCAGGAGTCACAGCACCCACCAGCTCACCAAATATTTGAATAGAAAAATTGGTAAGAGGCTAGTTTTAGCAATGTTACAGACTAAATAATCTGAAAATTGTCCATCTACCAAGAAATGCCAAGAGAACATAAATTCACATCCTTATACATTTTCATTTGAGAATAGTAGAAAGTAAAGAAAATTCCCAAAGGCCAAAAACAAAAAGGAAACTGGAAGCCAGAGTAGAAAATGCATGAGATGATGCTGTGCCAGCTGTGGAGATAGAATGGTGCCTGCTTCCATTACCTAGGGGCTTGGGTGTTAACCCCATAAAGGAACAGGAACTGGGACTTACATAATGAGGCAGGGAGGACTGAAACTGTGTCCATTCCTCTTCCACATGAATCCAGGATTCTTGGAATGGACTGTAAAAGTCTGGAATCAAGACTTTGTGTTTCCTCTCTAACATGTAAAGAGCTTAGAAGTTGTCGCTATTGCCCTTACAACAAAATGAAGCTGGACAAACTGAAAATCAATGACTTTTCTTGGACTCACTATACAGCTGAGTTTGCAGAGTAAACCACTACCCTGAAATCTGGAAAGGCAGGTGCACCCACAGATCCTCAGCTGAGATCCAATTACCTGAAATAGAAGCTGCCATTAGGAACACTTAAAAGGTAATTTTAATGAATTGCTGGAAGCTGAGTGTGGAATAACCTAAGGGTCAGAAACTCCTGGAAGACATAGTATTGGGGCCCAGGTGGGGCACATTTTTCAGGGTCATTACCTCCAGGGACTCTACCAGATTCTCCTGGTGAAGATCTAAGAGAGATTCCCTGATGACTCTGACTCTGGCTGGGAAGAGGGCAGGGGTGGGCCAGGAGATCATTGTGAAATACACCCAGAGATCTCCCGGGGAAAAGACTTTGTCAGAGCCTTATCCCAGAAAGAGAAAGTACATTTCTCCAACTCTAGCTCCCTTTAATCTTCTTGTTTTCTGTAAAGGGGCTTGGGGCATGGGGAGGGAGAATAGAAGTCAGAGTTTGAGGAAGTAGATTGGGAACACTGCAGCTAGGAAAAGAGTTGGAGACTGGTGCTGGGGGCGGGACGGGGGAAGCTATACTATTGGAGAAATATTTCTGAAGGTAAAAGACTTGAAACATAGACTCAATAATGGACTGAGATTTAATTTAATTGGAAGATTATAGAACATTTTCCCTCCCATACATCTTAGTGCCACACAATCGGGGCTCCAGAATAACACTGGATACAGCTAAAGGAGCTGCAAAACAGAGACTGAGGATAATGAAAGCCCTAAGTCACGAGTGGAGACAAAGCAAGGACACTAGACGAATTTGAAGCCTCTGGCACCTACAGCTACAGAAAACATTAAACACAATCTGTCTTAATCTGTTCAGGCTACTGTAACAAAATACCTTAGACTGGGTAACTTATACACAATGGAAATTTTTTCGTTCACAGCTCTGGAGGCTGGAGTTCACCATTCAGCATCTGGCAAGAGCTTGGGTATTAATCATTTTTGCTTTGAAGATGGTGCCTTTTCACTGCGTCTTCACATGGCAGAAGGGATAAATGAACTCCATTGGGCCGCTTTTATAAGGGCACCAATCCCATTCATGAGGGCTCCGTCCTCAAGACCTAATCACTTCCTAAAAGCCCCATCTCTTAATACTATTGCACTAGGGATTAGGATTCAACATTTGGCGAGAACAGAAACATTTAGGCCATAACACAGGTAAATTCCTAGCCAGATCCTCATACAGGCTTGTTTACCTCAATCCATATTACCTGACACAACATTTTCAGCTTTTAACAAAAGATTACAAAGCATACCAAATGGGAAACAAAAATACAATCTGAAGAAATAAAGCAATCATCAGGATCCAACTCAGATATGAAAACGTTGAAATTATAAGACAGAATTTAAATAACCATGATTAAAATGGTAAAGACTCCAATGTAAAGAGTATACACTGTGTAAAAACAGAGGGCAAATGTAAGCAGAGACATGGAAATTCCATGAAAGAACTAAAAGGAAATATTAGAAATCAAAAACTTGGTAACAGAAATCAAGAATACCTTTAATTTGCTCAACAGTAGATGTTACACAGATAAGGAAAAAATTAGAGAGCCTTAATATAGGTCAACAGAAACTTCCTAAACTAAAATGCAATGAGAAAAGAGAATGTATGTATTTTTTAAAGAAGTTGTGCTCACATTTGCCTTTTTTTTTTTTTTCTTATATGAATTTATAGGGTAGACATGTAATTTCGTTACATGGATACATTGCATAGTGATGAAGTCAGGGCTTTTAGTGTATCCATCACCCAAAGTAACTTTTTATTATCCACCCCCTTCCAATCTTCTCCACTTTTCCAAGTCTTTACTGTCTGTTATTCTGTACTCCATGTCCATGTGCACATGCTATTTAGCTCCCACTTGTAAGTGAGAAGAGGTGGTATTTCTGTTTCTCAGTTGTTGCACTTAAAACGATGGCCTCCAATTCCATCCATGTTGCTGCAAAAGACATTTCCTTCTTTTTTATGGCTTCATAGTACTCTGTCATATATATTTATATAGTGTGTGTGTGTGTGTGTGTGTATATATACACACACCACATTTTCTTTATCCAATCATCTTCTAATGGCCACTAAGGCCAATTCCACTTTGGTATTGTCAATAGTACTGTGATAAACATGAGTGAAGGTATCCTTTTGGTACAATGGTTTCTGAGAAAAGATAATTTAAAAAGGAGAACAGAACATTCAAAAAAATTGTAGAACAATTGCAAAAGGCATAACGTGTGTAAATGAAATATTAGAAGAAGAAAAAGAAGAAAGTAAAGTAGAAAAAAATACTTGGAGTAATAATGGCTGACATTTTCTCAAAAATAATGACAGACACCAAACCACAAATTCTGAATGCTCAAGAAACACCAAGCAAACACCAAAAATGGACTAAGCATATCATATTCAAATTGTATAAAACCAAAAACAAAAAGAAAAATATGGAAAAAAAACAGGAGAAAAATCTTATCTATAGAACACGAAGAATAATAATTATAAAAAAAATTTTGATTGCACACCATGCAAGCAAAAGAGAGTGGAGTAAAAGACTTAAAATGTTGGAAAATAACCCCACCATCCCAGCATTCTATATGCAGCAAAATTATCCTTCAAAACTAAGAATGAAAAAAAGATTGCTTAAACAAAAACTGAAGGAATTCATCATCTGTTTTGCAAGAAATGTTCAAATATTCTTCAGGCAGAAGGAAAATAATACATGTTAGAAATTTAGATCTTTAGAAAGAAAATCATCGGAGAAAGAATGGATGAAAGTAAACCATAAACCATACCAATTTATCAGTTGATCTAAGAGATAATTTAAAACAATAATTACACCAATTTATTGGGTAATCATAGCATATCAGTAAGTGAAATCAGGCTAGGCATGGTGGCTTACACCTGTAATCCCAGCACTTTGGGAGGTCGAGGGGGGCGGATCACAAGGTCAGGAGATCGAGACCATACTGGCTAACACGGTGAAACCCCGTCTCTACTAAAAATACAAAAAATTAGCCAGGTGTGATGGCAGGCACCTGTGGTCCCAGCTACTCGGGAGGCTGAGGCAGGAGAATGGCATGAACCCGGGAGGCGGAGCTTGCACTGAGCCAAGGTCGTGCCACTGCACTCCAGCCTGGGCAACAGAGCAAGACTCCATCTCAAAAAAAAAAAAGTGAAATCAGTGACAGCAATATCTCAAGTCACAGGAGAAAGGAATTTAAAATATTCTCTTGTAAGGTCCTTGCACTACCCCTAAAGTAGAATAGGGCTATTTGAAAGTAGACTTGGATTTGTTGTAGGTGTATACAACAAACTCAAAGGAAACTACTAAAAAAGTTGTGTAAAAAAAGTGTAATTGATATTCTAAGAGAAGAAAAATTTGAAATAATATAAAATGCTCAATTAAAAGCAAAGAAGGCAGAAATGGAAGAGGAAAAAAGAAAGTATAAATGCAACAGATAGAAAAGTTATAAACATGATAAATATTAATTCAGCAACATCAATAAGTTGATATTTAGATATAATTATGTATTTAGATGTAATTATCTAAATACAGCAGCTAAAAGACAAAGATTGTCAAAGTGGGTTTTAAAAGATCCAATTATACATTGCAGCAAGAAACTCACTTCAAATATAAAAACCCAGATAAACTGAAAGAAAGAGATAGAGAAATACATAACATGTTAGCGCTAATTTAAAAAACTGAAGTATCTTTATTAATTTTAAGCAAAATAGGCTTCAGAATAAAAATAAGTCAGTATATACTTGTTATTATTTGAATAGGAAGGAAAATACCAGAAGAAATACATAAAATAATTGGAAATGATTGCCTCAGATATTGGATGATGACCAGGTACCAAGTGCTTTCCATTATAATGTTAGTGGTATAATTTGATTCTTAAAACTATGTGTGTGTATGTATTACTTTCATATAATATTATTTAAAACAGGGTATAGTCATATAAATGTATCTTCTTAGCAGATTAAAAGAAAAAACTATATAATCTTCTAGTAGATGAAAAAAAGAGCACATGATAAGATTCAGCATCTTTTAATGATAAAAATCTTAGCAAAATAAGAAGAAAACTTTCTAAACCTGATAAAGGATATATATATAATAGGAACTCACAAAAAACTCATAGCAGACATAATTCTTAAAATTAAAACATTAGAAGCATTCCCTTTGTAGTTAGAAAGAATCTAAGAGTTTCTTTTATCACAGATTTAACCAAACATTATGCTGGAGGTTCTAAACAGTACAATAAGATAAAAGAAAGGTACTAAATTTATAAAGCTCAGAAAAAAAGAAAACTATCACTACAGGTAATATGATTGTCTCCAAATGAAAACTGAGAATATACACCAAATCTCCTTAAGCTAATAAGAAAATTCAGCAAAGTTGCTGGACCCACAATCAACTCACTAAAACTGATTTTATTCATATGGACCAGTGACAAATACGTGATTGAAGGATACCATGTGCAATAGCAGAAAAACTCCAGATATCGAGGAATTATGCCAACACAAGATGTGCAAGATCTTTACCAAGACATATAAAAGACCTAAATAAATGAATAAATGAACAAAATTCATAAACACAAAGTCATATTGTTAACATCTGCCAATAGGAAGGTGGACAAATAACATGGTTTATTTAAAAGTTGAATGCTATATAGCCGTTAAAATGAGTAAGTTATAACTACATGCATAAATATTGATAAACCACAAAAAGGCAAGTTGAGTATAAAAAGCACATTATAGAATATAAAATTATACAACATGTATATTTTAAAACATGCAAAACTGTATTTTGTTTATAAATACACATATGTAGTAAAAATATAAACATCAAATATTGGATGGAAGTTACCTTTGGAGTGGGAAATAGGACAGTATTTTCCAAACTTTTCACATGTAATAATTACCTGCAGAGCTTACAAAATACTAAAGGCTGCCTCTCCCAGACATTCCAGTTTAATTGGTAGGAGGTGAGACCTGGGAAATGGGAGTTTTAAATTTCTCCAAGTGATTCTAATGTGTAGCAAAGTCTGGGAAAGAGTATGAGTTAAGGGCAGTGTCGTTTTAAAGGTAGCTTCAATTCTAATTGTGAATTTCTATTTCTTAAACTAAGTGTATTAGTCCATTTTCACACTGCTATAACTGAGACTGAGTAATTTATAAAGAAAGCAGGTTTAATTGACTCTCAGTTCCACATGGCTGGGGAGAGCTCAGGAAACTTACAATCATAGAGGAAGACAAAGAGGAAGCAAGGCAGGTCTTACGTGGTGGCAGGAGACAGAGAGCACTCAGGTGAAACTGCCACTTTAAAAACCATCAGATCTCGTGAGAACTCCCTCACTCTCACGAGAACAGCATGTGGGAAACCAGGGAAACTGTCCCCATGATCCAGTGACCTCCCACCAGGTCCCTCCCTTGACACAACAGAGATTACAATTTGAGATGAGATTTGGATGGAGACACAGAGCCAAACCATATTAGTAAGTATTGGATGAAATATCAAAAAATGGTAAGACTTAAAGTCAGGTGACAGATATAAGGGTATTTGCAATATCATTTTCTATATTTTTCTGCTTCCTTGGATTTTCAGAAACGGGAGGGAGGGAAGGAAGAAAGGGAGAAAGGGAGGGAGGGAATCATAGTCTATTCCTACTGACTCAGTCACTCATACCAGTGCTATATCTAGCTGTTCAGAATGGAAGATCATACCAGTTCTCTAGTTCAGCTGTTGTCTGTTTACCAAATTTGTTGCCACTTAACTGGAACACAAAAGTGGTGACAAGAAAAAAAACCCTGGAATGCTGCCCTTGTTAGCTAATCCTGGTTCTACATTAATGGAAAACACTCAGCTCAGAGTACGGGTACATGGTAGCAGCTGAATGTTTACACATTTTGTAACAGGTAGAATTATTTCTAGATTCTTATTGTGACATTAATCATTCAGTTTGAGCCTACTGTGTGCAAGACACAATAATAATAATACGTTTTTGTTATTAAAAAATAATAATAATAACACATTGGGTGGGCATGGTGGCTCATTCCTGTAATCCCAGCACTTGGGGAGGCTGAGGCAGGAGGATCACTTGAGCCCAGGAGTTTGAGACCAGCCTGGGCAACATGGTGAAACCCTGTCTCTACAAAAATACTAAAATTAGCCAGGCGTGGTGACATGCACCTCTGGTCCCAGCTACTTGGGAGGCTGAGGTGGGAGGATCACGTGAGCCCAGGAGGCAAAGGCTGCAGTGAGCAGTGATTGTGCCACCGCACTCCAGCCTGGATGACAGAGCAAGACCCTGTCTCAAAACACACACACACACACACACACACACACCAAACAAACAAACAAAACAAACACATGTAAGGTAAAAATATGCTCTAACATTGTATAACAATCTCAACACTAACATTTGTTGGTGGACATTTATAGATTTACTAAAAGACACCATCTTTTTTTTTTTTTTTTTTTTTTTGAGACAGACTCTCACTCCCTCACCCAGGCAGGAGTGCAATGGTGCGATCTCGGCTCACTGCAACCTCTGCCTCCCAGGTTCAAGCAATTTTCCTGCCTCAACCTCCCAAGTAGCTGGGATTACAGGTGCATGCCACCACACCCAGCTAATTTTTTTTTTTTTTTTTGTATTTTTAGTACAGACGGGGTTTTGCCATGCTGGCCAGCCTGGTCTTGAACTCCTGACCTCAGGTGATCCACCTGCCTTGGCCTCCCAAAGTGGTGGGATTATAGGCATGAGCCACCACGCCTGGCCAAAAGACATCATCTTAATTAAATGAAACCCATCTCTTCTCGATAACAGATAGAAATTCATAAAATTAAATGATAAAGTCAATGGTTTGAGAGTCATAGCAGCTATTACTTGAAGGACGTCAAGATGGGAATGTTGATTTATATAGGAATATGGAAAGAAAGAATAAACTAAGCTCTATAAACACACATTTTCCTGGGAAAACTGTCCTCTGGCAGAAAAAAAAAAAAAAATGAAATGCTTCTCCTACCCATTTCTACCTGGAAGGAAATCAGTGCAGTTGGACTAAACAATACATCTCAACCCTGGCTGCAAGTTGGGATCCTCTAGGGAGATTTTTTAAAATGTTAGGGTCCCGCATAAATTTACTGAATCAGAATACGTGTGGATATAATTTGTCAGCGAGGGTTCAGAACTAAGGACTTAAGTGAACAGGAAATTTAGGAAGATCAAATTAGGTGATTTTCAAAATAATTTACCAAGATATAAAAAAGAAGATACAAGATATAGAAAAGACATTAAGTTGTTGGAGACTCTTCTTCAAACCTAATTAAAGCAAGCCAATTAAATATATAAAATTTGTGTTATGCTAGCTTAATCAAGGTTGGGAGGGGAGTGTTAGGGTTGGTAAGAGAGTAAATCACATCTGTTCCTGCTCATACATCCTACCTCGCTTTCTGTTCCCCAAGTTGCTGAGTGGTTCTGGACTCCTTGGAGCCCACATTTAAAACTTCTCCTCTGAAAGTTTCAAACATCTCATTTGACAGGTTAGGTATCTATGAAAAAATACACACTGACGATACAAAGAAAAAGTCTCAATAATAAGTGCAGGCCTAGTGTATTAGTCAGCATTCTCTAGAGGGACAGAATTAATAGGAGATATATATATATATAAATATAAAGTGGAGTAGTATTAACTCACACTATGTAAGTATTAACTCACTCGATCACAAGGTCCCACAAGAGGCCATCTACAAGCTGAGGAGCAAGGAAAGCCAATCCAAGTCCCCAAACTGAAGAACCCGGAGTCTGATGTTCAAGGAGAGGAAGGGTCCAGCACAGGAGAAAGATGTAGGCTAGGAGGCTAGGCCCATCTAGTCTTTTCATGTTTTCCTGCCTGCTTTATATTCTAGCTGCGCTGGCAGCTGATTAGATGGTGCTCACCCAGTTTAAGGGTGTGTCTGCCTTTCCCAGCCCACTGACTCAAATGTTAATCTCCTTTGGCAACAACTTCACAGACACACCCAGGATCAGTACTTTGTATCCTTCAATCAAGTTGACACTCAGTATTAACCATGGCACCAGGCAAAGATTATTAAATGTCTTATTAAGACCATTACAGTGAGGGCTTATTTGTCCACAGTGGTTCAATATGAAGGCAGTAGGAGGGACCAGATGAACTCGCATGATTACACATTCACATCCGATATTCCACCATTCAGCTCTTCTTCCAGCTCTTTTCCCAGTGGGAGAGCACTAAGACTACTGGTTTGTGTGGGTTTTTTACAGATATTAACTTAAGCTGTTAATTACTGTTGCTGTTTAATGATTCACTTATGATAATTAACATATTAATTCTTTGTACTTGTGCCCTCAAGCAATTCTGTGAAGGGTGTAATTTTTTAAATTCAGCAAATACAGCTAACAAGCAGTAACTGTCCAAGCAGTACTACTTAAGTGCTATTTCATGAATTATAATATTTAAATTCCATTAACTTAAAAGGATTAGCTTCCAAGGGACTGTTGTCTTCTGATCCTATTTCATATTAATTACTTTTGCAATACCAATAACACTGGCATTTGGACAGCATCTTTCTTTCACTGGGTCTTCATTTGTAGTGAAGATGAGAGCTTACAAAAACAAAGGCCAGCCTGGGCAACACAGTGGGATCTTGTCTCTACTAAAAATAAAAATTAAAAAAATTAACCGGGTATGGTAGTATACACCCATAGTCCTGTTACAGAAAGTTAGGTAGACATGAGCAGGGCAGGAAAGCCCCCTCCCCCATAAGGAATATCAGACAACTAAGAGGCAAAATAGCAGAGTTTAACTGGTATACGACCTTCCTCTAGGAATACTTTCCTGGTAAGGGAAGAATGCCCCTTAGTGCTTGAGCCCACTGGCCCAACTCCTGAGATCTTATTGGGAAGCTACTAATCACCAACTTCAGGTGTTTCTACCTATTGGGAGACTGCCTTTTCCTGGCACCACCTACAACCAATTATTATTTTAGAGAGAGTTTAACAACCACCTGACCATCACCTAATGGTTGCCTGATATTCCAGTGGGGTGAGGTGGGGACCTTTCTGTCCTGCTCGTGTCTGCCGGACTACCTACTGGAACAGCTCTAGCTACTCGGGAGGATGAGGTGGGAGGATTTCTTGAGCCCAGGAGTCCGACGTTGCAGTGAGCTATGATTGCACCACTTCACTCCAACCTGGGCAACACTGCAAGACCCTGTCTCAAAAAAAGGAAAACAAGAGAAAAGAGAAAGAGGGAGAGAGAGGGGAAGGAGAGGGCAGAGAGAGAGAAAGGGAGTGAGGGACAGAGAGGCGGGGGGGAAAGGTCAGTGTCCTCAAGTTCAATTAAATCCAACAGCTATTTATGGAATGCCTGCTATGTGCTGGACATGTAGACAGATACAAAGATGTGAGTGACAGTCAGTGGTTCAAAGCAGGGTAATGGGCGTTATAATATAATTGCTCCAATTCATTAGGGACCTACGATATACCAGATTTGCATATATTTTCTTTAATCCTCATGACAGTGGTTCAGGGTAGGAATCAAAATCTCTATTTCACAGATGAGGAAAAACTAAAAAGAGTTAAATGGCTTGCTTACAACCACCCAACTAATATTTGGCAAAACCAGGATTTGAACCTAGCCATAACTTGCTGGGAAATTCTGCCTTTTCCTCATAGAATATGTCAGCAGAAGACTCCAAGCAACACTGTGAAACAGGCAATGCTTGCCTTTGGTCTCCCTACCACTCTTATTTTATGTGATCCTATTTCTCTATTGGAGCTCTTCCCCTCCCCCACCTACATTTTTTCTAGTACTTTCTTGGCTGTTCTCTGGATTTCAAGTACAACATAGAAACAATGTATTTAGACATGCTCTCCCCATTAAGTCCCCTACACTCTAGACCAGAGCTGTGCAATCAACTTTCAGCACATTCAGAAATGTTCTGTATCTGCACTCTCCAATATGTCGGCCACTAGCCACATGTGGTTACTGAGCCCTTGAAGTGTAGCTAATGTGACTGAGGAATTGAATTATTTTATTTTAATTAATTTAAATTTGAATTTAAGATTAAATAGCCACATAGGGTTAGTGTCCATCGTTTTAAACAGCATAGCTCCAAAACATTCTCAATTCACTCTGTGCTTAAAATGTTCTTTTTCCATGTTTTGTTTTTCAGAGCCTGTTCTGCTGGGACACAGAATCACTTGCTCCATCTCATACATTGATGATGATTAATTTGTATGTGTACCTTCCAAAAAAGATGGTTGTGTTTGAATGGAGGCCTTCTGGACAGGAAAATGTAAGTTTTCATATGAAATGACAGGCCACTTGGGGAGGTATTTGATGATCAAAAGGGCCTTTAAACCTCATTAATTCCATACATGGGAATGGCCAGATGTTGGTCCCACTTAATTTTTTGTCACATTCACCCTTTACGATAATCGAGCAATTTGTATCACACACCTTGACACAGAACTCAGATGTTTTCACATGCTTTTTCCAAGTACTTTTCCCAGGGTACATGTATTCTGCTTTCTGCTTTTTTTCTGTCAAATAGCCCAAATAGTTAATACCAACTGGAGTGCCCAGTTTCCTGAAAAATACTGTTGACAGGAGCCCAAAAGCAATAGCCCCCACCTGTCACAAACCTGTAGCAGGTCTCTGGGAGATGCTAGAAGCTACAACAGGCTCTCCGCCCCAGGGATATTGCATTTTCTCCCTAGAGTTATAAAAGGGAAAGTTTTCAGAGTACAAAATTGAAGGCTTTTACAGTATAAAATTGAAGAGGCACAAAGTATATAGCTGAGGCACAAAACCGGACACTAAGGGCTGACCTCAGCCAATTAAGAGATTCTGAGAAAAAAGAAAGAGGCAGAGGGCTGGAGGAAAGGTGGGTCCGGAATCAAAGCAGAAGCCAAAATCCAAGGACCAACAACACAAACTCCAAATCATGTCCAGGTGGGAGGGGACAAGTTCCAAGGGGCTTACAAAGCAGCTCAAGGTTTTCAAGTTGGTTTTAGGGTCCGTTGGTCTGAGAGTACCTTCGCTTTCCAGAAGGTCGCTTGGTCTGAACTTAACATGGCGTAACACAAGGATCTGTGAGGATTTTTCTTGCTATACATCCTTTCTTTCATGTGTACAAATTGAGTGCAGATCCTTAGACGAGCTACATGCTGTTGGTCATTAACTTCAGGAAACTGGCATGGGTCCGCCTGAGGAGAAACTCGGAGAGATGGGCCCTCCAGAACAAATACGTTTATTTTGCAACAGCAGGGGATGGCAATACAGGATATGTGTGCCATGACAGATCACACGCACATCCAAGGGGGTCAGGGCAAAGGGGAAGCTTTTAAAGACAAAGAGAAGTCCATGTGAGTTGCTTTTTAGTAACATTCATAGGTCACAAGCTCATGGCAGTTAGTGTTTGTTCGCTGGTGGAGACTGTTGCTAAGTACCTGTCCTTGTGTGAGTGGCTTATCCAGAATACTGCCATCTCGAGGAAGTTCTTGAGATAGGTCCCGTTACTGATCTATGTGCTAGAGTGTCTTCTGTAAGGCTTGTTACAGGCATGTGTGCGTAAAGGCTTCTTCTTCATGGCCTCCCCTGACTCACTCTGTTTTGTTACAGTTTGACATAAGTGACTCCATTTTGGCACCAGCACCTTTCACACATGGTAGGGAAAGAAAGGTAGGAACCCACAGAGAACAACTGAACAGAATTCTTAAACAGATGCCTCCAAATTTTTACTCAAATACGGCTTAGGGAAAACCATCCTTCCATCCTTGTAGGTATCATCAGTGTTTATTCTCAGAAATGTTTTAATTCCTCCATTCAGAATCAGCAGACCTTCACTCTGGGTTACTCACATAAAAGCACCACATAGCTCATTTCTTACTGAAATTAGAGGGTTGCCCTCCACGAAGAGCATTAGGGCTTATTCGTTTATCCATCAGACACAGACAGCTCTTGAGGTATCTGAAGCCTGTCTCTTCAGGTACACAAAGCATTACAGCATTAAGTCAGCAGAGCGAAGGACCATGATTTTGCAATGAAAATAATAATTTAGGTGAGTAAAATAAAACATCCTTTTAGAGGGTTCACAACCATTAATTTTCTGTCTTTCAAAAATTACGTTCTGCATTGTTTTAGATGGAGAGTGCGTGCTTTGGATTCAAGACTGGGAATGAGGGGACCAGAAACCTATTCTGTGGCTGTTTCTTGTTAGGACTTTCCTAAGCCTCTGGAAAAGGTGACTCTGCTGTGCTCACTGCTCTAACTCTTTAGGTTTCTTTCTGCATACATATTAAAAGGAGCTTATTCTCCCTGACAGAGCATTTCTGATTTGACAGAACGGTGTAAGATATATTCACTCAAGTGAGAAAAAAAGAAATTGAGGTCTGTTTGTATTTCCTTTAGGCTATAAGCTTCTTAAGCAGAGACTGTCACGTTTTTACTCCTTAGTGGACTGTAACGGTAGCATAATATTCTGCATCTAATTAGTCATTTCATTAATTTTATTGGAACCAGAATGGTGACTACTGGCCTAATTAGAAGGAATCGCCCTTGGCTTCTAGGCTTAAAGATAAGCTCTTGTCGTTCAGAGAGAGAAATGCACTTTACAAAAGACGTGACTATCAGAGGCACAACCCTGTTCTCTCTGCTTTGCATTTCTCATTTCCTTCAGGTTCAATCCTGCTGATGCTCTCCATGGAGATGGTCAGCAAGGTGGGTGCCCACGAACCAGAGAAGAGTGAGGAGGGAACAAGGTTCCTCTGTGTGGTGATTTGTGGCTTTGGGATAGCTGGTGTCAGTTTTATCAATGTATGATTGGGTTTTTTAAATTATGAAACTATTTGAATATACATATGTGTGTATGTGTGTGTATATATGTGGATATGTGTGTGTATATATATATATATATATTTTTTAATCAAAAGACATTGCTGTCAGTAAAGATGACAATTGTTTAAGAGCCTTTACCAAATTTATAATCTACATAATGGTGAATATTCAAACTGACTTTCCTCAAAACACTTCTTAGCTAATTTTTCAAGCTTGCCCAAGAGTGCTCATGACAAGCCTCTGCCAACACCCAGGGGAGTTCTGTTGTGTCCACTACAATTCCAAAGCTAAAAGTAGAAGGAGATTTCATTTTCACACCTCAGAGAGTTTATTTTGCTGTTCTCAGAGGCCAGTTCCTGCCCCCAGTTTCCCATAACAATTAATTATAAAAAGGTGATTTCCCAAGGAACAAATGGTTAAGCACAAAGATTTAGTTGTCCTAGTGTTTGCATGGTTTTATATCCACTGTTTAATTTTTCCAGTGCAAAGTACAATTAACATTTGAGTCTGTCTGAGTCATGAAGAAATGGAGATTACTGAAAATAATTCATTTTGGTATCTTCTTACATCCTGAGAGACTAATCTTTCCAAGTTCATCTGAGGCTCCTCTTCTCCATGACAACCTCATCCAGGGATTTCTTCCTGTCCTGGTGTTTTATGACATGTAAGTGAAGACCCACATGCTGCTTTGTATATTTTTGTCAAAAGAGGAAAAACTGTCTTGTCGAGGACAGGAACTAAATTATATGCAGTATTTCTTTAGAAGCCCATTCAGCATCTTAAAGTGTTAGGTACAGAGAAGGCCCTCCATAAAAATTTGCTAAATTGAAACTAGGAGCAAACGTTAAGTCAAGATCAAACTCAGGAATAACTATGGCTATTAATCATCTTTTACCCAGAATTTAAATAATTTCATAAGTATTGCCTGAAATCTTTTTCTTTATGTCAATAGTAGCATGTTTTACTGGTGGTAGGATGTCTGGGGTGAATATCAAAGATCTGGCCCAAGTTGTTCCTGGGAGCTGGGGGTTAGGGAGTAGGAGAGAAAGATATTTAACTCTTCCAAATACCTAGTGGATTAGGATCCCACAGGGAACTACTGAAAATGCAAATGGGGCTGGGGTAGGGGCTCACACCTGTAATCCCAGCACTCTGGGAGGCCGAGGCTGGCGGATCACTTGAAGCCAGTAGTTCAAGACCAGCCTAGCCAACCTGGTGAAACCCTGTCTCTACTAAAAATACAAAAATTAGCTGGGTGTCGTGATGCACGCCTGTAATCCCAGCTACTTGAAAGACTGAGGCAGAGAAACATTTGAATCCAGGAGATGGAAGTTGCGGTGAGCTGTGATGGGGCCACTGCACTCCAGCCTGGGCAACAGAGGGAGACTCTGTCTCAAAAAAAAAATTAAAACGCAAATGGGATCATATCTTAAAATCAGCCAATAGCTTCCCATTATCTTTAGAGGAAAACTCCAAAGTCCTCCTTGAAGTGGTACCCAAGGCCCTCCTGAATCTAGCTCTTGATTTCTTTTCCGCTCATGTCTCACAGCTCCCCAAGGCACTACCACAACCTGAAGCATGACATTGAAGTTGCCTATGGTTTGCAATGCTTTTCCATTTCCCTGTCCTCATTAATTTCCATTTATTCTTCAAGGCCCAGATCAGGCTTCAACTTCTCCAGAAATCCTTTTCAGACACCTCTATTCTGGATGAGTTGCCCTTCCTATATGCCCCTACTCTAGCTTTGCTTACCTAAGTATACTAACTGTTGCATAGTATCATCATTTTCTGTCTTCCTCACCTGTCCTACCATTTAGTAGGTTGTTTTTTAATAAACTTTTTGTCTTAGTCCATTTGGGCTTCTATAACAGAACACCATAGACTGTGTAGCTTATAAACAACAAAAATTTATTTCTCACGGTTCTAGAGGGTGGGAAGTCCAAGAGCAAGGCACTGGCAGATTGGGTGTCTGTTGAGGGCCCTCTTCCTGGTTCATACACAGCCGTCTTTCTGCTGTGTCCTCCCATGGAAGAAGGATCAAAGAAACTCTCTGGGACCTTCTTCGTGAGAGTACTAATCTCATTCATGAGGCTTCCACCCTCATGACCTAATCACCTCCCAAGGCCCCATTTCCTAATACCATACCATTGGGGATTAGGTTTCAACATATAAATTTGGGGGAAAGAGGTCACAAACATTTAAGCTACAGCAGTTTTATAGTGGTTAAGAACATAAGCCCCGAAATAAGATTTCCCTAGTTAGTATTTCATCTCTGCCTCTCATGAGCTTTGAGAACTTAGGTCAAGTTATTTACCCTCTCTCTCCTTTATTTTACTCATTTGTAACATTAAATGAATATAGTAGTACCCACATACAATGCAATTAGATGCTTACCACAACGCAGAAAGAAAGTAGTTAGCTTGTGCATTTATTTGCTTATTTTTTATTTTTATTTTCTCTCTGGAATGTAACCTCCAGGAGATATTGGAACTTGTCTCCTCATTCACTGCTGTATCCCAAGCACCTAGAACAATACCTGTAATATTCTAGGAGCCCAGTGCATATTTGCAGACTATCTGTTGAATGGATATATTGATAAATGGCATGTGAGTTAGTCATAGCATCTTCAAGCCACTGTAGGCCTGCCAATTTTCTTTTTATTTTTTTAAAATTTTTTATTTCCATAGGTTTTGGGGGGAACAAGTGGTATTTGGTTATATGAGTAAATTATTTAATAGTGATTTGTGAGATTTTGGTGTACCCATCACCCAAGCAGTATACACTGAACCCAGTTTGTAGTCTTTTATCCCTCACCGCCTTCCCACCCTTTCCCTCTGAGTCCCCAAAGTTCATTGTATCATTCTTATGCCTTTGCTTCCTCATAGCTTAGCTCCCACTTATGAGTGAGAAAATACGATGTTTGGTTTTCCATTCCTGAGTTACTTCACTTAGAATATTAGCCTCTAGTTCCATCCAGGTTGCTGCAAATGCCATTAATTCATTCCTTTTTATGGCTGAGTAGTATTCCATCGTATATATATACCACATTTCTTTAGCCACTCTTTGATTGATGGGCATTTGGGGTGGTTTCATATTTTTACAATTGCGAATTGTGCTGCTATAAACATGCGTGTGCAAGTATCTTTTTCATATAATGACTTCTTTTCCTCTGGGTAGATACCCAGTAGCAGGATTGCTGGATCAAACAGTACTTCTACTGTTAGTTCTTAAAGGAATCTCCACACTGTTTTCCATAGTGATTGTACTAGTTTACATTCCCACGAGCAATGTAGAAGTGTTCCCTTTTCACTGCATCCACACCAACGTCTATAATTTTTTGATTTTTTGATTATGGCCATTCTTGCCGGAGTAAAGGTGGTATCACATTGTGGTTTTGATGTGCATTGCTCTGATCATTGGTGATGTTGAGCAATTTTTTAAATGTTTGTTCAGCTCTGCCAATTTTCTACAGAAGTAGAAGTTCCCTGTCTTCCTGGTATGGTCCCACACATAGTAGATACTCAACAAATATTAGTTTTCTGTCCTGCCCATTGTCAGCCACAAGGTCTTGCATGAGAATGAAACCCTTTGGCAATATCCGTTTTGGAGTTTGGTGACAGTGACAAATATGAGTACAAATATCAGCAACTGCAATCTCTGTTTCAGACATGCACATATACAGACTCGCAATGAACAATGACAGTCATAACAACTATTTCAAAACAACTCAAGCAAAGCAACTTCCTAGTTATCACTCATATCTCAACAGATATTAGAATCCAAATCTTTGTAGAGTTTCTATCCTCAAGCAGAAATTCATATTTTATAGTCACTGACATCATCATATAACAAATAGAGCTTGACATTTTCAATATGAGAAATTTATCGTGACTACTTTTTTCTACAGAAGAAATTTTTAAAGCATCTCAAGTAAAGAGAGCATTATATGCCAACTTTTTTTTTTTTTTTTTTTTTTTGGTTAAAGGGCTATTTTTTACAAATAGAGTTTGGGGAACATTGCTAAATTCATCAAAGTTTGAACTTATTTTTGCTCAAGCTAACTTGAAATCTTGTGTATAGGAAAGAGTATTGAACAGCGGATAAGGAGGCCAGGTTTTATTGCCCCCTCAGTTTGCCCCTGCCTGGCTGTGTGGCCTTGAACAATGACTACCTTTCTCATTCTAGGTGGAAGGGGACTGTAGCAGGTGATCTCCAAAGTCTCTGGAGACTTACTAATGTGGTAATACTAACTTAAGAGCTGTGGGGGTAGGTGAAACGGGCTTTGAAAGCAGAGCAGTGCTTTGTTCCATTGCCTTGATGCCTTGGTTTTATTTCAAATACACCATTTGATTTGTTTTAAAAGACTGCAAAATCTTTAAAAAGATTTGCTATGCTAAAAAGGATGTGAAATGTGTTATTTCTATGGTAGGGAAGGGGTACAAGAAGTGGTAGGTGGTGGGAGAAGATGGTGGTAGGATGGATTTAAAAGGGTCTCGTGAAACAGGATGTGGATGCCAGCTGTGCGATGTTAAACAAATTCCTTCACCTCTCTCCCTGTCTTCCAGCATCCTCATCTCGCTTGTAAGGATAATAGCCTTCCTCCAAACCTCACACACTTTTGGAGGAGATCACTTTTTTTAAAGTGCATGGAAATGTTTTGAAACAGTGAAATCTATAATGATAGGTTTCATAATTCTAACATCCACACCATATGGTAAGGACAAATAACACTAGGTGACATGAATCTTATTCATAATTCAAATGTACAAAAAAATGTAAACTTTCTACCACTAAACTTAATGTCTATTTTAAGCCTAGAAACTCAATCTCAGTCACTCTTGTGTTTCCTTCCTGTGGAATTCTGGGGGTTCACAGAGTCCCAGGGTGTGGATGTGGTAGGAGTCGGGGGCACCTGGTTGCCAGGGTCATCTCTCCACACAGATGTCTGCTGGGGCATCCACTTGCCCTCAGTTGTTGATCCACAACAGGCTGCAAGTGACATCCTTTCTTTCTGTCCAAATGGCACGTTTAGGCCCCACCACCTCCCTGCTGTGTCTATGCCTCCTTGGAGGTGCACAGGCTCCTGTGAGGCTATCTACAGCCCCTCTTCCTATATTCTCTCTGAAGTCCCTCTCTGGGGTCTTCCTGTCCCTGGGCTCAGTCAGCTTTTCTCATCTGTCACTTCATTCTAAGATCATCTCTAGGGCTAGCTAGGTATTAACAGGAAGGAAACACCTGTCCTCTGCTCTTTGGCCTCCTCATCTAGTCTGGGAAATCCCTTCCAGTCCTCAGAGGAGCCTTGCTTCCCTTATAATATCCTTCTTCCCAAATATTTTGTTTTTCCTCAAAGCCCTCACAATTTCCCCTGAGGCCTGAGGTTCGGCTTGCTCACACTTCTCTCTCCCCTGCTTCCCACAGAATCACATCCTTCCTGAGATAATGAGCACACAATTGCCTGGATACCTGAAGGAATGGAGACAGCGGCAGAAAACACTGCAGAGAGGTGGAAACATCCGTTAATATTTTAAAATCCCATTACTGCTACCAACAATAATAATGGATGCATAGAAATAGATCTGGATTAGCTGAGCTTGAAACAGTCCATCTCACACACACACAAAAGAATTTCAGGTAATGAAGAAAAGAAAAGGAAAAAAATAACACATGGCCTCTGTAACATTGTTGCTTTTGAACCTTATTGGATTTGTGGCAAACTGGGTGCTTTTGGGACATGAGTCTCCTACCACTCACCTGCCTCTGAGCTCTCCTCTGAGGCCGGTCACTGCCCAGAAGGGATGCACCTGTCTTCTGTCCTGTGGTCTCTGGGTAGCCCCTGGGTCAGCATTTTGGGTGCTAGCATCTGATGCAACTGCTACAGTTGCTGATGAGAAAGTAGCTACCCTCCTCCACTCCACCCCTGCCGCCCAGGCCCTGCCACTCCTGCTAACCTGTCAGGCTACATTTTCAATTACTGGCTTTGAAAAATGTCCAGGTGGATTAAATCAATGAATGCGATGAGCTGAACACAAGGCAATGGCAATTCTGTGGCCTCCCTCGGGATAATTGGTGAGTGCATGGGGTGTTGAAAATCCAAGCCTGAAAATCATTGCTTTGAAGAAAGGGAGGACAACAACCAAACTATTTCTTCCATGAAAATGCATAACATTTAAATAATGTCCCCGTTCTTCTCAGTGCCCATCAACCTTCATTTTTTAATGCACTGAAAAGTCTAAATATTTATTCAATTCACAGGATTTATTACAGCTTCATTCAGCTAGGGCACATACACATTTTTTAACTACATGGCACTTTTTAAATAGCATCATTTAAAAATAATTAGGAAATAATTGTGATTGTATTCTAAAGATGTAAGATACTATCTAGTTTTAAAAAGTAACCAGAAAGAGTGTTCCTAAAGGACGACCCATAATCAACAGCTAGAAACAGCTGGCATTTATTTTACATAGAAAAACAGTTCGCATGTAGGGAATCACCATCTGACTCACTAAACTGCCCAGTGTTGTCGGGAAAAAATAGGCTGGTTAGAAAGTCAGCTTGTGGCTAACCATGTTCCAGACCACCTGGCCTTGCTCTGCTATGAGGTCAAAAGGCTGGTTTTGTGTTATCATGGAAAGAGGTGAGATTCCAGCCAGACACTTGCCGCGTGCAAGGTCACCTGGGCGTCACCTTTTAGGACGGCTAGAGGAGATGTCAGGGATTGAAGGGGGTGGCGAGGAGGAGCTTTGTCCATAATCTCTATAAGCCACTCTCCTTCATTGATAACATAGACAATCAGAATTGCCATTTTCTGTTTCATCTAAAGTGCTATGAAACACAGCTTCAGCTTGCTCCTTCCAACAGATCCCTACATAGATGCTCTGGAACGGCCTCTTTGTGTTTATTAATGGAAATTTCCCACAATAACTGCAAGTGACTAAAAAGATGCTGTGTCTTTCATCCCTGTCTCTGTCATCATCATGCTTTCTTAACTAACATAATTTTTGAGAAATATTGGGAAAATGCCAACAAAGAAATATAATTTGAAATTCCACCATCCAGAGAAAATCACTTTTCCTAGGGAATAGAGACATCTTCCAACTTATGCAATTTATACAATCATCTGTTTTTCAAAGGTCTTAAGTAAATCATATTTCATATACATTGAAATGCTTTCGATTTGCTTCTGCGGCTTTTTGTATCACCATTCATGGTGTTACAGTTCCTTTTTAAAATGATTTAAAAAAAAAAAAAAGACAAGGTCTTTGAAATTATTGAGCCACCCATGCCTAGCCACCAACTTTGTACTAGGGGTGCTGTATCTTTCCCTTTACGCCTTCAAATAGACTGCTAGCCTCTGTCCTTATCAGCACTTTCCAGTTGAAATTAGAAGGCAGTAAAGGCGAAATGACACAAACAACATGGAATTAGCGTGGCTGACACACAGAGATCACAGCAGGTAATGGAGACAGGTGAGGACCCAGTGAGGGGCATGGGGAAGGGGCTGTGGAGCTCTGAAGTGCATTTCCCACATTTAGCCTTGCACTGGATGTACAAATGTCCACATCTCTAAAATTAAATTATGTACCTTATGGAGCAATTTGCATAAAACAATTTTGTATCTGTTGTGTGTTTCATAACCTGCGGTACATCTGTACATTTATAGATTTTAAAAAATAGTATATATCCTGCTTTGTAACATGCTTTTTTTGTTGGCACATGCCTCTTTATGTCCATAAATAAATACAGACGTCATAATTGCCGATGACTACAAAACCCTCTGCTGTGTGTATCTATAAGAATTATTTAAACAGTTTCCAGTGAGTGGATCTTCTGGGTGTTTCCAGTTCGGCTTATAATGGACGCCTCGGGTTCCCAGGGTTGTGTTCTTTGGTCTGCCTCTGGTTTCAGCCATAGCTGCAATGAACATGGTCATGAGAGCTCAGACTCACATGGAAAAGCTAGCAAAGGGGCTTTTCCGATGCTAAAGAGCCTTGAGGCAAAGGAGAGTCTTTCTCCTTGCTCCTAGACAACCTTAAACCAGTGGGGACGGACTGGTGAATAAATGCTTCAGGAGACCTTGTGAGTGTTTCGCGAGAGGGCGCTGTGGAGTTGAGTCCCAGCAGCCCAAGGCATCAGCCTCACTAAGTTTGCTTTTCCCTCTTCCCTACTCTCTCCCTCCTGCTTCCCAGGATCATGTTGGAAATAAACTACCTGTATCCAGACAAGTCCTAATCTCTCCTGTTCTGAGCCAAGATAGGGACTCTGATAAACAATGATGTGGACAATATCCTTGAATGCACATCTCTGCCGTGGATCTAGTTATTTCCTTAAGACAAATCTCTAGAAATGCTCATTGCTGATCTGGTTATTTCCTTAAGATAAATCTCTAGAAATGTTCACTGCTGAGTCAAAGGGCATGGACTTTTAAAAACAAGCTCAAACAAGTGCTCTGTTTAACAGAGCTCTTAACTGTAAGGCGATTGATTTTATTTTATTTGCCTTTGCCTATTCAATCCCAGAGCTATCATGAAGCTCTCTTCCATCAAGAAGCAAAACATTGATACTAACTTCCTGTAGTCTTTTAAGCCACCCTCTCCAGAGGCCCCAGAAATCCCTCCCCGTTGCTGTCCTGCAAACACGATGAATGGAATAGTTGGAATGCACACCCACTGTCTCTCAAATAGACAGCTCACTTTATTGCCTGGTAGTTATTAAGAATGAGTAGTAATTTTGCTGTAGAAAAGACTACTTATAGGGAAAGTAAGAAACGAGAGAAACATTCACTCATAATTTAACACAAGGAAATAAAACCAACCAGAAGATAAAATGTCTGTTTCTCAAACAGCTCAATCCTTATATCACTAGTAGCACTGGAGCTCTTAATTATAGATAGTAAAGCCTCTGGATGTTATTTTTTACCCAACATCAGTGGTAACAGACGCATAAGGAACTGCTCAGAGTAGTACAGAAGGAACTCTAATGCGCAGGCGCTTCGGTGGGGCAGCAGCAAATGTGCGTGATCTGGCTAAAGAGGGAACCCAGAAAGGGTGTCAGCTCCAAATATGGATTAGCCACAGCCTTTCCACGAGGGGGAATGGTGACCATATGTTTGCAAGTATAATTTACAGAAACATATATGTGATTATTTTTTAAAATAAGTGAACTATTTATAAATCTTAGCCAATGAATCTTTGTGACATCTCCTTTCAGGAAGCCTAATTTTAAAAGGTATATAAAACCGTTCTCCTGGCCAACACTTGCAGGTTCTGCCCGCTTGGATGGCTTCCCTAAAAAAGGAAAAAACAAACAAAACCAACCTTCCTTGGCTGTGTTTGCCATCAACATCAAGAACTGCAGCAAAGGCATTCTGACTGCTGTTTATTACTACTGTTTATTCTGTCATAATTACTATCACCAAACCCACATGATTACAGTGTTAGTAATTTTATTGATTATAAATAGCACTAATGCTGTAATACATTAGCAAAGACACAGCATTAGGGAGACATGGTCCATACTCACTTGGAGAGTTGCACCTTTGAGGATGATTGTTTAAACCATCCTGGAAAGCATTATCCTTACATGGCCCCGGTTTCCAGTCACTCCAGTGAAGGTTTCCTTTAAACACTACCGCCATTCTCCCTGCTCAGTGTTTCTGTGGCCTTCTCAGATGTCCTTCATGCAGTCTAGGCTGTGCTTTGTATTCAAAAGAGAATCCCTTGATAGTATATGGACCCAGTAATGTCCTAGTTTCTTGAATTTGCTAAAAGCAGGGGCATTAGATTGTGAAAGCCCACTACAGCCATTTCTATTTTAACAGTGATACATCTTCCTTTTGGCAAGAGTACTATTGAGTGAATTCGTACAGTCTTGGGCCCTTCCATGTTTATTTAAAGATTGTATTTTCTGAGGGAGGAGGACAAAGGGCACAATTGGGACTTTACTCAAAACACCCACATATCATAGAGGGAATCTACATTTACTGTTTAATTTTAGTTTTCAAAATTTATTGCAAAGAGTCACCTGGATAAAGAGAAATCCCCCCACAGAACAATGTCTTTCTGCCTTCTCCAAAGCACACTCCCTTTTCTGAGGAGTGATGCTTTCACTTAAAATGGTGTATATTGATTAAAGTCAACATATTTCCTGTTTTTTAGGTGTCTGCTGGGTTCTTGGGAGCATTTTTTTTTTTTTTTTTTTTTTTTTTTTGAGACGGAGTCTGCTCTGTCGCCCAGGCTGGAGTGCAGTGGCGGGATCTCGGCTCACTGCAAGCTCCGCCTCCCGGGTTCACGCCATTCTCCTGCCTCAGCCTCCCAAGTAGCTGGGACTACAGGCGCCCGCCACTACGCCCGGCTAATTTTTTTTGTATTTTTAGTAGAGACGGGGTTTCACCGTTTTAGCCGGGATGGTCTCGATCTCCTGACCTCGTGATCCGCCCGCCTCGGCCTCCCAAAGTGCTGGGATTACAGGCGTGAGCCACAGCGCCCGGCCGCATTTTTTTTTTTAACATAAGCCTTTCTTTATTGATTCAGAACTAGAAAACATTTTAATATAGTGGTAACATTTAGTCACAATGGGGAGTGTGCTTTTGGCAATTCCCTGGTTAATGGCATGAATGTCTGTGTCTGTATGTGTGTATAGAAATCCATTAGACTCATTTTAAGGTGGTTTTTTAAAAAACACTAAAATATGTAAATATCCTGATGATTGAGACTACAGGTTGATATTTTATAATGTTGTTTTCTGTTCACATTCAGATACAGTGAACCCACATGTTGAAGCTTTCTAGTATAATAAAAATTTCAACTGTTCTGTTGAATCATCTGCCTGATTGGAGGCTACAGAAAAGATGTCATCTTAGGTAAGGACTGAAGGGTAAATGACTGTAAAACATGATTTAAAAAGACACTAAATGTAAGAAAGCCTTAGCCCAACTTTTACTTCAAAATTCCTATTGATTTGTTATATCAGGAAGAGTCTTAGAATAATTCCTTTGATTGTCCTCTAAATTTACTTCAAGTTAAATTCATGTTCTCTCGAATCTTCTCACCATTCTCAGGCTGTATGTAGACACCAAATGGGTGCAAATAATGAAACATATTCTGTAACTAGCTGCCTTGTATAGACCCAACTTAAAAGAAACAAAAAAAAAATGATGGATTTTTGGTAATGTGCTTTTATTTTAAAAGGATAAAGAAAATTCAGCCCCATCGTGGAACTTATCTGTAACATGAATTAATCTTCTTAACAAATAAAGTCAGTCCCCCTATTTTACTTGACCCTGCCCCAAAGGGAATATATAGCCTCCCAGATTACTACTGAACATTTTGAGTAGCAACAAACTTCAGATCCTTGCATATCTTAGTCTGTGTTGCAATAAAGTAAGCTTGTCCAACTCGCGGCCCATGGGATGCATGCAGCTCGGGACAGCTTTAAATGCGACCCAGCACAAATTCGTAAACTTTCTCAAAACATTATGAGTTTTGTTTTTTTTTTTGCAATTTTTTTTCGCTTATCAGCTACCATTAGTGTATTTTATGTGTGGCCCAGGGAAGCCAAAAGATTGGAAACCCCTGCGAATACCCAAGGCCAGGTAATTTCTAAAGAAAATGGGTTTATTTGGCTCACAGCTCTGTAGGCTGTACAAGCAGCACGGTGCTAGCATCTGCTTCTGGTAAGAGCTTCAGGAAGCTTCCAATCATGGCAGAAGGGGAAGGGGAGCCAGTGTGTTACATGGTGAGAGCAGAAGTGAGAGAGAGAGAAAGGAGGTGCCGGACTCTTTTCAATAACCAGATCTCACAGGAACTAAGAGTGAGAACTTAATCATGAGAAGGCCATTAAGCCATTCATGAGGGATCTGTCCCACTGGGCCAAACACCTCCTAATAGGCCCCACGTCCAACTTTGGGGATCCATTTTCAACATCAGATTTGGAGGGGACAAATACCCAAACTATATCATTGCAATGATTGTGACAAATGTCAAGTGGAGAGAGTCTGACTTCATTTTATTATAACTACTTTACATGAAAAGTCCTTTTATGAGGCCCAGAAATTTCTATGAAAAGTAAAATGTCCCCAGTGGCTCAAATGGCTGTATGGGGTTTTATGTTGAGGTATACCAGACCATGACATATTTCATATTTACTCTGATTTCATATTTACTGTAATTTCATATTTATTCTGATTGAAGATCTCATGACTTGACATAAGGATGATATTATATAGACTCAAATTCCAGAATTCTTATATGTTTCCAGAGAGAATGGGCAAAAAGCCTTCAGTTAGAGTCACATATTGCTTACTTTTTTTCTTTTTAATTCTAGGAGTGCTTGCTCTGAGTGAGGCTCATCTTCAAATCTGAATGACCACAAGGAGATTTGATTATACATGTGAACACCTCAGAAGGCACAGCCCACCCAGAAGGCAGACAGGTCAGGCTGCTTTTTCTTCATTGCTTGGATTCAATCCTCCGGGCGGCTCAGGCTCAAACATAACTTAAGCATGATTAAACTTTAGAAGAAGCTGCCAGGAAGACTGTGAAATCTTCATGCCCAAGGATCCCTAAAATTAGGAGCAACAACCACTTGGCTCAGACGGTTTATGGAGGCAAAGGTTTGGATGGGATTAGAGATTTCTAAATGTGAGTTCGTGTCCTCTGCCAGACCACCTTACTTCCACCATTCCTCAGCAAATCAAGAAAAACAGGAGAAAAGACATGCCTTTCCATAAGTTAAATCTATTCTGTTTTAATTCTATATTATATCTGCTGTACAACTTCTTTTGTTTGTAACACCATATTGTTGCTAGTAACTGGAAATTAATTTTCACATGCCTCAGCTTAGAAAAATAAAAAGCAGCCCTGCATCAATCCCAATTTCCTTTTTAGTTTTAATGAGCCTTGAAATCCGAAATTTCGGAAACCATTGGTCTAGATAATCTTCATTCAACAAATATTCATTCAGCTGCCTGTTCTTATGTCATACAAAGGGAAAATAACTTTTTCCACAGGATTATGAAAATAATTAAATGAACTAATATTCATTGCGCATGGCACCATGTTAAGCGCTTTACATATGCAAATTATTTTATTTAATTCTTGCAAAAACCCTAAGACAAAGACAACCAACAAAAAGCATGGAGGGTGGGATTCCTGCCAGGTCACCTCTGGCATAGGCTGCCATAATTAACCTAGTTTTTACTCTGCTAAGAAAATGACTGGTGTTTGCAGGGAGGTGGCATGATAGCAGAAACACATTTTAAACTTTTTAATGTTTTGCTTTTTTCATGAAACCAAAGCTTGAGTGGTGGGATGGCTGGGCATAGTGATGCAAACAAACAAACGGTGGACGATAGAAACATCAGTGGAATTTGTTGATGTGTGAAACACCTCCAATCAGTCAGAATTCAGAGTTAATCAGAGACCACTTGTTCAGAGGCCTGATCTTTCTGGCTCAACAAGCCAATCACATTCCCCTCTGTTTCACATGATGTCTGTCTTCCGCTCCCTGATTTGTGAGAGCAATTCTGCATGTGCTGAAGAACTACAGGATATAAACAGGAATTAACAGCTAGACAACTAGCTATTGGCGATGGCTAATTATAGAATGGAGAAAAATAATACTTTGCTTTGAGCCACTTCAATCTGAATTTTGAATTCAAAATCGAGGGTAGGAATGTTATATGCCAAGGCCTCTTGGAGCTACCATCCTTAAAGCACTAAGCCCCAAACTAAGTGAGTTATCATTTTGATACTATTTTTCACAGGTAGAATGAGAACGTCTCCTGCACATTAAAATGACTTTTTGTTCTTTTTATGCAGAAACAAGACAGAGATCAGAAAGCCACTTTGGCTTAGGCACAATAAGGGAAGAAAATAACCTTTAAGTTACCAGAGTTAGTTCTCCCCCTATTAGAGGGGAGTGATTACCCTGAAGATATTCAATTAGCTCTTGCTATGGACTGAATTGTGATTTCCCCTGCCACCAAAAAAAAAAAAAAAAAAAAAAAATTCATATCGCTGAAGCCCTAATTCCTAATGTGATGCTATTTGGAGATGTGGTCTTTGGAGATCATTAGGTTTAGATAAGGTCATGACGGTGGGCCCCTCATGATGGAATTCGTTTCCTTATAGGAGGAGACAGACACTAGAGCTCACCGGCTCGCCCTCTCACTCCTACTCATCTGAGAAGGCAGCCAGCTAACCCTTCAGCCAGGAAGAGGGTCCTCATCAGAACCTGGCCGTGGTGGCATCCAGATCTTGAACCTCCGGACTCCAGACTGTGAGAAAATAAGTGTGTTGTTTAAACTACCCAGTCTACGGTGTTTTGTTACGGCGGCCGCATAACGAGCACTCCCTGTGCAGAATGAGCAGCAAATCTGTTCTCTCTCTTTCGAGTGCTCCTCTCCCACTGAATCGGCCCGTGCTGCAGGCCACACAGGACAGGAGCGATGATGCTCCTTGCTTGACCAAACTTTGGACTGTGAGCTGGTAACTCAATTGCAATGGAAAGGAGTTGTAACCAGCACTTTTTATCTGAGGTTTGAAAAAGGAAAAGAAGCTTGACCCCAAGATACCTGAGTTTTTGAGGAGTAGAGTCGGGAAAGGTCTGCATTCATGAGGCGCTGGATGCCTGTTCCACTTCTGACCCGGTGGATAGAGAGCTGCAGCTCCAGCCAGTCAAGCAAGGCGCATCATCTCTCCAATCTTATTTATGCTACCTTCATCTGCCTCAAGTTCCCTAGTGATTCTCCCACCTGCAACATACCCACCAATCTCACCCTTATGGCAGATCTCTCCCTAGACACAGGATCCTCCTGCCCTGACACAGAGCTCCTCTTCTTCCTGAGATTCTGTATAGGACTGAGTTACTTCCAGGCGCTGCCCACATCCCGTGGAATCCAGCAATTCCTCTGGGATCCTGGGGTCTTACCTTTCCCAAGGCCTGAAGTTAACCATTCATTCAGCGCATGTTTGCATGTGCCGGGCACTGTTGTAGGGACTGGGGATACTGCAGTGAACAAGATGGACAAAGTTCTTGCCTCCTACAGGCAAAAGGGAGATAGGCCAGTTCAGTGGGAAAGGAGCAATCAAAAGAGAGAGAACAGATTTGCTGCTCATTCTGCATAGGGAGTCCTAAGCTGTTTTGCACTTTTTTTTTTTTTTTTTTTGAGATGGAGTCTCCCTCTGTCGCCCAGGCTGGAGTACAGTGGCACGAACTCGGCTCACTGCAAGCTCCACCTCCTGGGTTCACACCATTCTCCTGCCTCAGCCTCCCGAGTAGCTGGGACTACAGGCGCCCGCCACCACGCCCGGCTAATTTTTTGTGTTTTTAGTAGAGACGGGGTTTCACTGTGTTAGCCAGGATAGTCTCGATCTCCTGACCTCGTGATCTGCCCGCCTTGGCCTACCAAAGTGCTGGGATTACAGGCATGAGCCACCGTGCCCGGCCCTGTTTTGCATTTTTTAATCAGAGAAAAAGAGAAGATATGTCCCCTTAGTTTATTGAGTTGTTACAATAGATAGAAATAAAGAAACAAAATGGCTTCTTTTCATATGAAAATTATCAACTCTGAGCCCTGGAAGTTCTCTTAGAGAGGCAGTATGGCATGACGCTTAAGAACAGGGGCCTGGTACCTCATCACCTGGCGAGGCACTCCAGCCCTGCCCATTTGCCAGCTGAGTAACATTAAGCAAATTCCCTTATCTTCATGTGCCTCATCTGTCAAATGGATGTAATGATAATGCCTTCCTTCAGGAGTTGTGGTATTAAGCATAAATAATTTAGAACTGCACCTTGCACAGAATAATTTCTTATTATCAGTTTTGGCCTCAATATTTTATATAACAGGTTACCAAGACTCAGAGGTAAATTCCAGGAGGTTACAAAGCAACATAGTATCATTATTATTGCAAACCATGTTAGGCTGACTAGCTGATCCCAATTTCCCAGGACTAGCCCCAGTTTTAGCACTGAAAGTCCTGCATTCTGGGAAAACTGGGAGGGTCACCCTACAATGATGAAGATAAAGTCACATAAAGTGGAATCAGCTGAATGAGGCCCCAACCACAGAAGAGATATTCATTTGGAAGGCAGCAATGTCACTATGGAAGATATGACTCCAAATGCAGGCACCTGGTGTGAGACTCTGATAACAGTTAAGAAAGCATGTGTCGAGTTATGTGGAACTATATAAAACAAAGGTTCTCTAGAAATGTATTAGTTTGGTGGTCAGGAATTTTCCAGACATGCTTTCTATCCTCTGGGGGAATTCCAGCAGTGCAGATGTGGTCTTTATGAACCTGGTCTCATAAGCTGCAGGTCTGTCCTGATATTTACAGAATAAAATTTTGACTAATCATCTAAGATTGCATTTGTAGAGCGTTTATCTCAAAGGAGCTCGGTGTTCTTGGCAGTCATTATTTAATTAATCCTCACACTGTCTCTGTGCGACACAGAGCGGCAGGTGTAATTATCTCTGTTTTGCAGATTACATGACTTGGAGTTATGCCTGGTTATAAGGTGTCTTGGAAAGAGATGTTTCACTGTGATAACAGGTTTGATTTGGTTCTTATTCTTTCCAGTGAGTCTTAGACTTGATTTGACTCTAGGGAACCCTAAATGAACATCATAAATGATATTCTCCATATCCATAGTTCATCTTTCTTTGCCTGTCACCATGTTTGGTGACCACGTTAAACAGCTTGTGTCTAACAGGCAGGAAACTCAGCTGTGACACTGTGATCATTAGGTCAGGCCTCCAGAGGTCAGAATCAGCACTCATTCCATTCCCTGCGCTAAAGTTGTTCATGCTATGCCTTTTTCTAAACTGCAGAGATCTTTACTAAGTAATGGATTAATAAATGAGAAATGTCATAAAACTCAATCCACACCATTGCCTCAAGAGCTGTAAATCCAAACAGGAATAGGATAAATGAGAGAATAGACATTGATTTCCCCATCAGAAGAGATGGGCTGAAAAAATGGTGACAAGAATAATGAGATGACAAGAACAGCCAACATACATTGAATTCTTAGGATACACCAAGCCCCATTCTAAATGTTTTATATGTATAAATTCATTGAATCCTCCCCAAGAAGTTAGGAATTTATATTTCACATAAGGAAACTGAGGCACAGAGAAGTTAATTTGCTAAAGGTTACACAGCTAACAAGTATCAGAACTGGGATTTGAACCCAGGCATGTTGGCTTCAGTGACCTTGGTCTTAACCACTATGCTGAAGGCAAAAATAAAATACTTAATAATCATCAGAGACATCTGCACTCCCATATTCATTGCAGCACTATTCCCAATAGCTAAGATATGGAAACCACCTGAATGCCCAGTGATGATGAATGGATAAAGAAAATGTAGTGTATATACACAACGGAATATTATTGAGCCTTAAAAAACAAGGAAATCCTGTCATCTAAGACAACATGGATGAGCCTGAAGGACGTGCTAAGTGAAATAAGCCACACACAGAAAGAAAAGTACTAGAAGATCTCATTTCTATAGAATAAAACAGTCAAACTCATAGAAGCAGAGAGTGGAATAATGGTTGCCGGGGGAATGAGGCAGGGGTGGAAAGATGGGGTCAAAGGGCCCAACATTTTAGTTAGTCAGGAAAAAGAAGTTCTGGAGCTCTAATACACAGCATGGTGACTATAGTTACTGTATTCTATACTAGAAATTTGCTAAGAGAGCAAATTTTAAATGTTCTCACCACACACACAAAAGTAACCAACTGTGGGAGGTGATGGATATATTAATTAGGTTGATTGTGGTAACCATTTTGTAATGTATACATATGTGAAAACATCACGTATGCCTTAAACACACAATTATTTGTCAATTATACCTCAATAAAGCTGGAAAAAACAAAACACTTGAAAACATAATTTCCTTCTTATTAAATGAAACTCACATCATGCCTAAATGACAAACCCAACAGTCTCATCCTTTGATGCTCACCTGCTCTGACTGGTGGAGGTGCAAGTTTCATCTAACCTGAGACCAGGAGGAGTGACCCTACTGGGCACAGCAGCAGGTTTGGTGATTAAAGGGTTTTTTTGCTTTAACTAGTTTTCCAACATGTCATTCAGGTTAATTGGAAATCAACATATTTCTTCAATGCCAATGCCTCCAAATTTTTTTTGAGATGGAATCTTGCTCTGTCGCCAAGCTGGAGTGCAGTGGCATCATCTTGGCTCACTGCAACCTCCGCCTCCTGGGTTCAAGCAGTTCTCCTGCCTCAGCATCCAGAGTAGCTGGGACTACAAGCACGCGCCACAACGCCGAGCTAACTTTTGTATGGTCTCAATCTCTTGACCTCGTGATCCGCCTGCCTCAGCCTCCCAAAGTGCTGGGATTACAGGCATGAGCCACCGCACCCAGCCCAAAATTTACTACGGTTTGCTCACAGGGACACAAGCTTATCATTTATTAAGACCACAGCTAAAGCACCTCAGTTTGTCCATCATGCAAGTCAGGAGGAGGTGGGAGGCTACTTCTGAGATAAAATATTTTGGAAGTGCTCAGATCAGGAAGGGAAAAGTCTGTTTCATTTGGAACATTTTGAAAATAGTTCCGAAGGTTCAGAGCTGTCACTCATGGGTCCCAGGTACACTCCAGGCTCAGGTCACCTCTACATGCATTTGCACCTCAGGGGTCCAGGGCCTCATAAGCACAGTGCACTGACAGATAAGTGCATTGACATAAGCTAGTGCTCTGACAATCCTAAAACGTTACAGGGTGGTGGCCTCATCACTGGGTGTCTTAAATCAAGCCCCATAGGCAATTCTAATCAGTAGATGCTTTTGTGAAACTTTGGAAGTTGCTTCTACTCTGCTGGGGCAATAACAACTTAGCACATTTCCACTTCAGCTTTACCTTTAGAAAAAGCCAATGTAAGCTGGCATATCACTTGCCAGTTTGGATATTACTCTTAGTAAAAAAAAAAAAAAATTGAGTGTCACCAACCTCCAATCTTATTTATGCTACCTTCACCTGCCTCAAGTTCCCTAGTGATTCTCCCACCTGCAACATACCCACCAATCTCACCCTTATGGCAGCTCTCTCCCTAGACACAGGATCCTCCTGCCCTGACACAGAGCTCCTCTTCTTCCTGAGATTCTGTATAGGACTGAGTTACTTCCAGGCGCTGCCCACATCCCGTGGAATCCAGCAATTCCTCTGGGATCCTGGGGTCTTACCTTTCCCAAGGCCTGAAGTTAACCATTCATTCAGCGCATGTTTGCATTTGCCGGGCACTGTTGTAGGGACTGGGGATGCTGCAGTGAACAAGATGGACAAAGTCCTTGCCTCCTACAGGCAAAAGGGAGATAGGCAATAAACAAAGTAAACAAGAACCACTTTAATTCAGGAAGTGAAGACTGCTCTAAAGAAACATCAAGCAGGGGAAGGACAGAGAGAGTGATGCAGATTGTGGAGTTGGGGGAAGTTTTACTCCAAGCCCTAAATTGTTGGCTGGGATCCCATTAGCTTAGAAGAAACACTGACCTCCCCTCCCTAATCCAGGCCGCATTTTTTAGGACTGGCACACTAAAAAATAAATAAAATTTAAAAAAGAAAAATGCCAAGCCCGTAATGAAAGAATTATTTAAAATTTCAAGATGGCGGCAGCAGAGCCTCAAACAAGCTCGGGGCCCTGTGTGCCCGCACACTGCCTCGACCATGATGATGGTCCTGCCACACCTGCTACCTTTGGAGGACCTGCCTGAGATCCCACGGTGGGTTCAGCTCAGCCTTCAGGGTGCCTGATGGCTTCGTTTGCTACCAGAGGTACTGCCTGTTTGCCTCCGAGATTGCTTAGTATTTGAACCCTGTGCCTGGGCCCCCCTTGCCCACCCTCCGTACCGACCTCCCAGAACCTCTCCTGGCAGCCAGGCCCACTTCCCAAGATTGTTCTACAGAGGGGCGGCTCCACTGGAGACCCGGAATTACCCCTCCTCACTCCGCCCCCTGCCCCTCCTCTCAATACCCAGGCTTTGGCCCCACCCCATTCCCCCCTGCTTCTTCTTAGTCTTGTGATCAGCAGTAGAATTCCATCAATGCACAAAAGTGATGCTAGTATCTGGCCTTGTGTTCAGAACCCCTGGGCATCTTCTTCTAAGCACCACTTAAGGAGAATGCTCAAGGGATCGCCCACAAGGAGAATATGGCTGCAGGGAAATAGCCAGCCTCTCCATTCAAGAACACAGATTACTCATTTACCAAAATGTGGCTGTTGCAAAGATGTAAGTGGGAATCCTTAGCGAGCGGTTTAAGCCACAAGCAGAGGCATTTCAGCACCCAGGTTTAAATGCCAGGTGCGTCCCTTCATCCTGGCTGCGGAGTGAGATGAAGGGGAGGATATAACTGAATATGTGTTGTCGAATCAGCTTCTGTGACAAGAGAGATAACAAATGTGACTTAGAAGGTGAAAGGAATAGGCCTTGCAAATAGGACGCAGCCTGGCGCTTTCTTCCGTGGATGGAACGCAGAGTCGAGTCACGTGGAGAACATCGGGCTTGGTAAGCTGCTTTAGTGCATAGGAATGAAGGCGGACGATAAGGACTAGAGCCTGGTACTCATTATTGTATGTCTAGGAAAAAGAGAACTGATACCCTTTCTAGTTTGGTAATGAAGGGGATTAAAAATGTGCTTTCAGAACTGCGTGGGCTCTTTTTTATTTTCTCTGGCCGTAGCAAAGAATATTCATTAACCCGGACCCATCTTTCCACCACATAAAAACTATGGGAAAAATATTTTTTAATATTATAAACTGATACGACAAGCATATTAAGCTAATCTGAGACGGTGGCCTGTTATTTTGAAAAAAAGAAAATATGAAAGCATGCAACAGATCTTTAAAGACACCTTTACCCAAGGCATGGTTTCTCTCAGAATCAAGACAAGAGTCAACGGGGGAAGTTTAAGCTTGAAACCGTGGCATTGATTCCTCCCAAAGGAGAAAATGGTGAGAGGATGATGCCAGCTGCGCCGCGGGGAAAAAGAGCGGCCATGCGCTGGCCTGGCCCCTGCAGCCGCGCTAGGTTCCCTAATTCTATGTTCTTTCCTTCTCTCCATTTTCCTGTTCTGTTCTGTTTTTGTTTTGTGTATCTTGGCCACTTCTGGCTATGGTGTCCTTGACCTTGAATTTCCCTCAGTGTCCATTTTCATCTGTCTGGTTTTAGATTCCTTTCTGGGTGATAAGGGTCCCCTGGGATTCTGCCCTGATCATCTGCAGCCTTCAGAGCCATCCAGCTCTGGAGCTGAGCGTTCCTGGACAGCGCTGCCCAGAGCAGTGGGTTTCTAACTGTATCTTTCCCGCAGGCAGCTCTGTTCCTTAGCTCCTCCTCGTCTCCTCCTCCCTGCTTTGTTCGTGACTTGTCTGCTACCTCAGGTTCAGCTGCTACCAAGCGAATAGAGTTCATGGATAAATGTCATTGAACAAAAGCAGACAAATTATTTGCTACTTTCCTGTCTCAGCCTTTCTAAAAAGTGATTTTTTAAAGCTAAGCCTGGATTCTATAAGTAATATATGTAGAAGTGTCTTGAAAACTGTAAAGTGCTGTGAAAACATTACCTATCATGTTCCATCTGAAGGAACCCTTCTCTAATGGCAGGTAGAAATGAAGCTTTCACAAGTGGGTATATATACTCACTTCAGGGTTTTGTTTTTGCTTTTCAAAAAGACTCTTAAAATTCAAATGCCACTTAATATTTGAAAGTTCCCCTTATCCATACTTGAATCATAGCTCTCTTAAATAATTCTATTCACAGCACATGCCTATTGTATGAAATTACAAATTACCCTGGAGTCCCGATAATCCCTGACAGGCAAAGCTCTGTGCTAACTAGAACTTTTCAGCGTCCTGGTAAAAAAAAATCTTCCCCAGGATAATGTCTACTTGTACTCAAAAGGGAGCCGTGATGCAAGATCTTGGGGTATGTATGCAGGGAAACACATCTGTGAACCTTTAAAAATATCTCTCCAATACGCTGTTTCAATGATTTATCAACAACAAAATTTCCCAAATCTATTTGCTTATTCTGTCTTTATTGATCCAGAGTGATACATGATAACAACATAAGATTTAATTCTAAATCAAGGTTTATAGGCTCTTTAGTGATGGCATTAACTTGAAATGGGTCTATTATATCTAAAATACTTTATACTGTGCCCATGTTATTTATAGTCAATACCACATTGTTTGCTTAGCTTCTCCATGTTTGTTCAACATTTTGCTAGACTCTTATTTATTTTATTTATTTATTTATTTTGAGGCAGAGTCTCGCTCTATCACCAGGCTGGAGTGCAGTGGCGCAATCTCGGCTCACTGCAACCTCCGCCTCCAGGGTTCAAGCAATTCTCCTGCCTCAGCATCCCGAGTATCTAGGACTATAGGCACGTGCCACCACACCCAGCTAATTTTTGTATTTTTAGTAGAGACGGGGTTTCACCATGTTGGCCAGGATGGTCTCAATCTCTTGACCTCATGATCCGCCCACCTCGGCCTCCCAAAGTGCTGGGATTACAGGCGTAAGCCACTGCGCCCGGCCTTGTTAGACTCTTATAAGTACTTTAGGAAGGTCTGAGTAGAACAAATTGAAAAATATTTGGGAGTGCAATTCATGTACCTATGTTTTATTTTTTTAAATATGCAGTAAGAATTATTTTAAGAAGATATTCATAGCCTTACCAGTATAATGTGAGCTAACAACTCAAGTTACTGCTAGTGTAATAGTTAAATCAGTAAGTGCATTCAAAATTAGGTCAGACTTAATGTTCAGCAGTTGGTGTTATGTTACCTTTGTATTTGGCATAAGATTTTTCATATCACACTTAACCTTGATATAAAATAAAAAGGTACATGTTAGAGAAAGAAGTCCTGCAGATTTGTCATTTGCAGCCCTAATTGCACATTAGAATCACCTGGCATGTTTTTAAAATCTAACTGCTAGGCCCCATGTAAGACAAATTAATTCCAGTTCTCTAGGTCTGTGGTTCTCAAATTGTGGGCCCTGGACCAGGCACTTCAGCATTACCTGGGAACTTGTTAGAAATGCAAATTCTCAGGCCTACCCAGGCCTACTGAATCAGAATTCTGGGGCTAGAGATGGTGATGGGAATGGGGATGAGGCCCGGCCACCTGCGTCTAACAAGCTCTCCAGGTGAGTTTGATGCAGTGTTTGAGAACTGCTGCTCTAGCTACTTACATTTGTATTTTTTTTTAACCTCCAAAGATTAAAATATGCATCCAGGGTGGAAAATTATTAGGATAGTACTGCTCTGACTTCAGAGGCATAAAACAGGAAAGAAATTGCTGGAACAGAAAGGTACATAAAACTTCTAGCTATAGGGACCTGCCTCCTACAAATAGAGCTCTGTGAAGAAACTAGTCAGTATAGCTTGCGTAGGTCATGCATGCTTAATGAATGGAATAGATGTGGCCACCTCCTTTGATGGGACATTACCCACATCCCTGGCACCCAAGATCTGCTTCTCCTGGTCAGGATGCAGGTGACAAGAATCACTAGTCAGAGGGTGCTTGACCCAACTGTAGGGTTAGACATTTTCAAGGCCTGCCTCTATAGAGAGCATTTTAGACCAGATGGATGAATTTGGAATTTCACATACATAATAGTTGATATGAACCTCTACCTAGTAAGTTTCATTGAAATAAATATTCCAAGTAATTATCTTTAAGAACATTCAGATAAATACATAATTATGACAGAGCAATAAATGCTTCTACTTCATCAAGCGTTCAGATTGAATACAATAAATCATTTTCAACAATTATTTCAAAACTCATCGCCTCAGGAGTGAGTCTATAAGAGGCTGATAAGAGGCATGTGGAAAAATACTGATTTGAGTTGATATTATAGCTAAGCTTTCTGCAATTAATTCCCTATACTAAATTCTTGGTAATTAAATGTATTTTTATGAAATGACCTATTTCATTTTCCCTATAGTTCAGTTGTTTTAGTAAATGATAGTTAAAAGTTTACAAGTTCTACAAAAATAAATGTATGAATAAATGAGTAAATATATGTGTGTATAATGTGTGTGTATCTATATATCTTCCTAGATGTCAATAGAAATTTAAAATTATCTAATATTTTTAAGCTTACTTGGGTACTTTAGGGTTAAATAACTTTTCACTGAAATCACGTTTTTCAGAAAGAAAGGAGGTCTTATATTTACACCCCGTAAAATATATTTAAAGAATTATTTAAAATAGGCTGGGCACGGTGGCTTATGCCTGTAATCTCAGTGCTTTGGGAGGCTGAGGTGTGTGGATCACTTGAGGTCAGGAGTTTGAGACCAGCCTGGCCAACATGGTGAAACCCTGTCTCTACTAAAAATACAATAATTAGCCAGAAGTGGTGGTGGGTGCCTGTAATCCCAGCTACTCGGGAGGCTAAGGCAGGAGAATCGCTTAGACCTAGGATGCAGAGGTTGCAGTGAGCTGAGATCGCACCACTGTACTCCAGCTTGGGCAACAGAGCGAGACTCTGTCTCAAAAAAAAAAAAAAAAAAAAAAAAAGAAGAATTATTTAAAAGAATACTCAGAAAAAGAGTCAGAGTAAGAAAAAAGGTATTAGATGCAAAGTCAGCTCGCAGCAATGTAAGACTCCTAAATGGAACCTTCTCATTAGTCTTCAACCAGAAGGCTGCTCCTCCTGCGTGCCCTCACTGCATGTGGATGAGATTTCATTTAGAGCTGTTTGTCATTCTACTTTGTGTTTGGAAAAGATATCATCCGATGCTTGAATCCTCTCTGCTATGTCCCTATCCAGTTGTCTCCAACCTGTGCCAGATCACCTCCATCATGTGAAACCACCCCCTCCTGACACCAAGGCTGCATGCTATGATTGTTCTGAAAGTTAGAAAATTACTTTTTCATATTGACCCTTTCTCTATCTTTCTATTGCCCATATCTGTCTTGCTCCTAGCCCCTGGACACATGGACCATGTCTAATCCCTCCACAAATATACTAACCCTTCACATGTTTGAAAATTGCTACCAAGATGATGAAATTCTACAGAGATAAATGTAAAGTTTTCCACTGGGGCCTAAGAAACACGCTGTATACGTACAAGATTGAAACAACGTGACTCAGTCCACGTATTTTACCTCCAACTTATAGAAGAGGAAGCTGAGACTGAAAAACAAACTAGCACAGAGTTCACAATGTTGGTCCTCCATGGGATAAAACTTGAGCTCAGGTCACATTATACCAAATCTTGTTCTTTTTCCACCTTGTCTACAATGGCACACCTAGTCTGTTAAGGTTTTGTTTTGTTTTGTTTTGTTTTGTTTTGTTTTGTTTTGTTTTGTTTTGTTTTGTTTGAGACAGTTTCACTCTTGTCACTCAGGCTGGAGTGCAATGGCACGATCTCGGCTCACTGCAACCTCTGCCTCCCGAGTTCAAGTGATTCTCCTGCCTCAGCCTCCCAAGTAGCTGGGATCACAGGCACATGCCACCATGCCTGGCTAATTTTTATATTTTTAGTGGACACGGGGTTTTACCATGTTGGCCAGGCTGGTCTCAAACTCTTGACCTCAGATGATTCACCCACCTCGGCCTCCAAAAGTGCTGGGATTACAGGCATGAGCCACTGCGCCCGGCCTGTTAAGACCTTTTAGAATTTCCACTTTAATATCCAGTTTATTTTCTTCACATGCCAGCACACTCTATATGGTGAATTACATGCATCTTCCTTGGCATCCCTTATAAAGACGTTTAATTTAGTCTGCAGTGTCCCATGGCATCATACATATTCAGATGTGCAAAAAGCATTTATTGAAGTGAAATGAGGGGCCATCTATCTTTCTGTTGACAATTTACTGTCTATAAAAGCAACAAAGATTAATATAAGAAAAAGGAAAATTATCTCAATCCAGAAATGTAATTCCCTATTTTTGAAAACAAATGTGATTTTACATAGCATGCAGTTCCTGGTGCCAAGGATATGTCTTAGTTAGTTTAAAACTTGCATCACTTATTTTTTTTTTTCTAAAGATGTGAAGGCTTTAAATACAGTTCTAACAAATGCTTCAATATTTTTGCATTTGTCTATTTCTCTGATTAAACATGTTTCCTGACCAGTGTCTCTGCTTCCAATCTTTCCTCCAAATCTGTTTACAAACTCTTTCTATACTACTCTCCCTGCATAATTAAATGAGTCCCCTAACCTCCAGAGTCAGTTGTATACTCCTTGGCATGGCTCAGGGCTGCTTGATCTTGCAGACACCATGCACATCCAACCAGACCGAGCTATGTGCCCTTCTCCAAGACCACACCAACTTCTCCTGCCCTGTGCTTGCAATACTCTTTCCACCATTCTGCAAAACTATGGAATTTGAGCAGTTCCTTCTATGGCAAGATTTCAAGAATAAAGCATGGCTCGATCAGGACAGTGATGACATGAAAAACAAGTGTGTGGTGCTGAGGACCATTCTCTGTACTTGTTTTCTGAATTCACTCTTGTGGCTAGATCAGCTTTATTTGTTTTTGATTCCCTTCCCAACCATTTCTTAACATTTCCAAAAAATAATCTGGTTCTTCCCATGACTCTAAGCCCTGAAGGGAATGCATTTTCCTTCCTGGTTAGTCCTCACATAGGTAGGGGACTGGTAGAGGACCGGCTTAGTGTCATTGATTTGCTCCAGGTTCAGCCTCATTGGTTGTCACTGGGAAAAACCTCCTGACCTGGCTTCTTATGAACATTCTGTTCTATCCTTGAGCCAAATGGTGATGCTGAGGAGAAGAATGAGCAAGTAGTGATAGCTAACTTTAAGTGGGAACTTACTGTATGGCAGGCACTGCTCTAAGCTCCTTCCATGTACAGTCTTATTCCCCTTCTTTACAATCCTGTGAAGTGCATACAGTCCCTATGAGAAAATCGAGGCTCAGAGAGGTTAACTTACCCAAGGTCACACAGCTAGGAAATGGGGGAACAGCACTTAAATCTATATAGTCTGATCCAAAGCACTGGCTTTTGAACAGCGTGAAACATTGCCTCCCCAGCGTTAAGCGTTTGTAAACACCTACTTTGGGTAGATTTGGGCACGCTAATTATTGTCCATTAGTACCAGATAGATCTATCCTCAGTGCCAAAGGACTTTGGGACTGACTCTCCACATTGATGTGTACAGAAGTAAACCATCTGATAGTGCTCAGATTTTGCTGTGATTCCTTAACCTGGGTGTATACTAGAACGAACTGGTGGGCTCTTCAGTTGCTCCTGCAAAATTAGAGATGCTCAACCCCAGAAATCCTGATTAAGTTGGTTGGAGGTGAGGCTCCAATATCTGTGGTGCCCAGTTGCCACAAGTAAGTGGACTAAGGCTTTACTTTATTGAGGAGGGGCCCACAAATCCACTCCTTAGAGTGCAGCGAGTCCGCTGGAAGGGAAAGGGGACACCAGGGCCTCCTTACTCTCAAACTCCTGCCACGTTTCACATCCAAGAGTTTCAGAGCCTGCTCTACAGGCCCAGAGGAGCAAAGAGAAGCCTTCGGGGGTGCGTAGAGCTTCCAGCCAGTGTCCGAGTCTCCGAGGCACCCAAGGCCTTGGCAAAGGCCCAACAGGCGGTTGTCACCAGAATCTCCCCGGGGACACTCAGAGCAGATCCCTCAGCTAGCACAGCTTCTAAATCTGTCCTCCAGAATGATTAATCTGTTTAAGCAAATTCCTGGAGCATAATTAAGATGCTCTAATCAAGGAAGGAGATTGTTATGCAGCAGCCTCAGGCACTGATTTGGTGGCAGGAGCTCATGACCAAAAGGCCTCAATAACCTAGTGGAAACAGTGAAGGTGACAGAGGATGGCTCGGCCAAGGAGACAGGGGAAGGCAGGCCACGGGGAGGTCAGGAATGTCAGAGGAGGAAAAGGCTGTGAAGGCAGAGGGGTCGACTGTTGACGGGTGAGGGTCAAGGGCAACGAGCCCTGAGGCCACACCTTCAGATTTGGGGGTTTGAGTTTTTAACGCAGTAGTAGTTAATAACCACAACCAGCAGTAGTGGTTGCGGAAGTGGATGTTCTTCCAGGAGAAACAGCTCAAGGAAGATGAGAATTGGCTACTTGGGTCCCTGGGGACTTCTGAGGCTGGAAAGAGTGTCAGGGACCCTTGGGGACTGTTAAAGAAATGGGTGGGGTTTGCGGGCAGCTCCCCAGTGATGGACTGAGGTGGGCCCGTGGCGCCCACTCTGGCTGCTCACACCTCTTCCCTGGGAAGCAGAGTTAGACAACGATGCTCAGATGACATTTCTGGGCCCTATTGATTGACAGGAGTATATCCTCTCCCCGGGAACCCCCAAGTCCTAACAGCACAATGGCCTTTGCCTTGTCTCCGTTTTGGCTGGGCACTGGGGCTACTGCTGCCATGCACGTGTTCTGCTGGGACATGCTGACCTTCCCGTGATCCCAGGCCTCAAACTGCAATGACAGGTAGGAGATCCTCCTCTCCTCCTCTATGCGGGGCAGTGTGATCTGGAGAATTAGGCCCACTGCACCTGCCCACCCTTTCCTGGAGAAAGCTTGGGTGGGAGGGGAGCAGGTGCTTGGGGGGCCGATGAGGGGAGACTGGGCAGAGCAGGCGGGGGTGGAGTGGGTGTGTTTGGCATCACTCCTCTCCCTGGGGTCTCAGGTGCCATCTGCCCTCACTGCCTTCCCTTCCACTGTGCTGTGTCACTCTGTGCCTCTGGGTAACCGGCATCTCATCTCATGAGTTTTCTCCTGCAAACCAGATGCCCCAGGGCAGGCTGCAGTCACTGATGGCAACTCAGAGTTTGCCATTAGCTCTCTAATTTCTTCCCTAACCTGCCTGAGGCCCACAACGTAAAGCATTCTTGCAACTCATGCTCTTAAAACAGAAACAGCTCATAGGGCTGCGTGGTCAGAATAGGGAGGATGGAGAATTCAACCCTCCCTTTGTCCTGGGGACTGGTGATCTCTCACCCACAGACCTCAGCTGGCATACAGGGTCCCAGAGGTACAAATTAGGGCAAATGAGATGGGGACATGACAGATACAGAGGCACGTGTGAGACATAGAGTTTGGTACCTCTCAGAAACATTTATTACCTCTTTCACCTGCCCGATGGCTCAGCTCCCAGCTGGTAAATTACTTTTCCTTTTGTGACATCAGAACATAGTTTCTGAATTAGGGGCCAGGTTAAGCAGAGGCAAGTGGGCTCAAGTGTGTGAAGCCAGTGCCAAGAAGCTAGAGAAAAGCTTTCTAGGAATTCAGGGGGAAAGGAGAAGGTACATTGCTCTGGAAAAGAACCATGTCTTTCTCCAGAAGTGGAGGCTCCATACTGTACCAAGGACAAATGCATGCCCTCTAAAGTGAAATTGGCAGGAGCAAGAATAGCAGCCGGTGTCTCTCTACAATCCTTGCCTTTGTTGCCATCCTGCCACAGTTCATCCCCCTCCTCCAATTCAAGAGCCTCTTTGAGTAGCCTGCACGGTCCTGATTCCTACTAAAGTGTTTTCTTAGGTTTGTTGACTAATATTGAAGACAGATTCCAACTCCCTAAAGAGTACAGCTATGGAACAATGTCAACAGCATTAATGTTCTACAAACACAAGATATGTTTAACTCAAATATTTAAATATAAATGTTCTGTTTTGGTACGTAGCGTAGATGAAGGCACTCTGCTGCTTTTCACTGCTGAGAGCTAGTGAGAGATATCAACATTATTAAATAACACAAACATTTTCCCCTGGAAAAATCCACTGGGGTGTTGTGTGCTGACCCCGATTATTTTCTAAATTGGCTGTGTGTTGACTCCGTGCTTTGCTTGTTTGCTTTTTTATCTCTCCAGTGGGACAGCTTGCCTCTTTAAATATGTGTCTCTCTAACCCTGACAGGTTTGAAGTATGCTGTTGTCACTAGAAAGACACAGAGATTGTGGGGGTGTGGGGGTCTGTCTGGTGGCAGAGCCTATGTGTGGCCTAGTTAACAGGTTACAGTTCTTCCCTGCCCTTCAGGATGTCAGCAGAGCCCCTCTCAAGGTCACAGCCAGTGTACTGAGACTGAACAGAACATATGGTCCTTCCTTGGGAGCCTTTGATATTCTGGGCTGGAGTTGACTGATGAGGACCAAATTATTCAATTGTGCCATCTATTTCCTGCTGGGACTTAACTAATACAATATTGACAGGGTTCAGGACACACTACCCAAAAATATGGCATCTTGCATAGCTAATATTTTAAGCTGAAGGAATTTAAGAAAACTGCAGAAGCAGAAAGGCCACTCTTATCTTGCCCTGCCATTCTCCTCTGAAGCAGATCATAAAACCTAGGAAGGATTTCCTGGCCTTGCCCTGAAGCAGGTCATAGACCCTCAGGAGAAAGGGTCCCTACCCTCCTAGAGGAGAGGAACATCCTTATCTCTGGAGATCAAGGGTCACAGAAGAATCTAGACAAACAGGCCTTGGTAAGTGCTCCCCCGCCCCCCCACACGGCAGTTTATTACCATTTAATCATACCCTTTTTGCCCTATCATATTTCTCCATGACTCTACTCTTCATAAAATCTAGCATAAAAACATACATGTTTAGCCATTTGATATGATTAGGCTTTTTGTCCTCACCCAAAACTCATCTTGAATTGTAATCTCCAGGTGTTGAGGGAGAGACCTGGTGGGAGGTGATTGGATCACGGCGTGGAGGAGGGAGGGGCAATTCCCCCATTATGTTTTCATGATAGTGAGAGTTCTCACGAGATCTGATGGTTTTATCAGTGTTTGGTAGTTCCTCTCTTGCTTGGTTCTTCTCTCTCCTGCTGCACTGTGAAGAGGTGCCTTCCACCATGATTGTAAGTTTCCTGAGCCCTCCCCAGCCATGCTGAACTGTGAGTCAATTAAACCTCTTTTCTTTATAAATTACCCAGTCTTGGGCAGTTCTTTATAGCAGTGTGAGAATGTGCTAGCACACCATTTATCTGGGTCTTCATTTTCTTATAAAGGTTCCCATGTCAAATAAAATTTATACTATTTAATAAATAAGTTTGTATGCTTTTCTCTTGTTAATGTCTTCTATTATAGGGGCCTGAGCCATGAACCTAGTGAGAAAGTGCTTTTTCCTCCCCTACTATGCCAAGGTGCCATATTTTGGAGTAGTGTGTACGGGACCCTGTTGCTATTGCATTAGTCAAGTCTCAGCAGGAAATAGATGACACATTCAAATCAGGCACATGTCAACTTATTTCAAAAATGTTTCTTTTGGTGCCCCAGCCTTGCTGATGCTTTAAGAATATATTGAGAATTAGTCTTGGTAATCTAGTGCTTCAAGTGAGGGCCAGTTTGCAGTACAGAAGGACAGGTCTTGAACTTCCAAAACAAGAGCATCTGCCCTCTATTATTAAAACACTGTAGATGTACTCAAGGGCAGATGGCCATTGACAACAAGCGTAGGAGCCCAGGATGGGAATATTTAAAACCAAATAGTCAGTACTTTTTTTTATAAAAATTCAAAGAGTGATTATGGTTTTTAATTTAGTATTACTGAAGATCATAAACGATTTTATTACCAAAATCTAATTAAATAAAAATGATTTGGTTTCAGCACTGCCAGCTGAAACATTGTAAAGAACCTAAAACATTGTGGAGAAAATATGATTAAAGGATCAAATTTTGTAACTTTTGTGCTCACTTGGAAATCCACCTGTAAACTAAACATAAAATCCTAAGTCCCTCCACCAGATGAGCGGGCTCCCTTGTGGCCAATGGGAACCCAGAAAAACATTAAGACTGAGTTCCCTGCCAAGACGGCACAGGAGGTCAGACACCCCTCATTATATTCCCCTTCCATTTATGGTTTAGACACAACTGACCAGCATTCATGTGAAAATAGACATCACAAGACCTAAAGAACAGACTATGGCAATAAGATACTAAATTATAAACAGGACCCAAGGCTATGCTGGGCAAGGGTTAAGTCACGGTCCCCCTACACTTAAGGAATAAACTATACTCTTAACTGCCACAAGGGTTTTCTTTTTCTCTGGCAGCTGAACAAGCACTGGCCTCGAGATAAGCAATATTAACACAACTTGCAGCTCAAGATCGGATGCTGAGTAACTAGCCCCCTGTTCCACTAGCCATAACTAACAGCTTTGATTGGACAAGAGACTGATTTCAGTAATTTTCCAGCAACTGGTTCTGGCTGGTTTATGGAGATTGTGCACTTGCGTGCCTTCATGTCCTGAAAAGACCTTCTGACACCTAGAGCCTAATATTTAAATGTTAATTCTCCACCCCAAAGTGAACATGGATGTAACACGCATGTTTGTTCAATACCCATGTGTTAGGACCATCTTCATGAATATTCATATCTCCTCCTGTAACCTGTTGAATATGTATGCTTAACCAACCTGTTCAGCCTAAAGCTCCTACTCCGATCCCTCGTTTTTTGAAGTGCCTGTCTCTGGTCTCCGCTAGAGTCTCGCTTTCCAGCCTGTGGGATGGGATGGTCACGATGCAGGCTGTAACCCTAAGTCTCCCCTCTTTTTCTAAATTTACAAATTGTGTTTTTGTTTGTTTGCTTTAACACATCCATGCTTTTTCTCTCTTTATGCCAGGGTCTTTGTACTTCCTGCAGAAGATAAACGAGCTACTCTACCGCCAACAGTGAAAGATGTGTTGGCCTGTGATAAACCTGATTCCTTGGTGGCCTGTGATAAACCTGATTCCTTGGGTCAGAAACAGATTTCAGATGGCTTGTCCTGATTCCAGGCTAATTAGTTATATCCTTTGAGAAGCCTCCTGGCTCCCTCAGGCGAAGGAACAACTCCCTCCACGGCATTCCTAAAGCACTGAAAGCATTATTATTTTATATTGCAATGATCACATTTCTTGTCCTCCCAACAGATTGTGATTTTGTTGAGGGCAGAAATAAGATCTTTCCCCGCTATCTCCCACATGAACATGACCTCTCCCCCAGTTTTCAGTGGGCTCAGTAGATGTTTGCTGAGTGAATGGATAAGTGAATCTGTGTGAGAATGAAGATACACCACCTCTCAAAATAGATTCCTCCTTCTCAGATTATTTTTTCAGTCCCTAATCAATGTAGTACTAGCAAACCTGCTATGAAATGGGTGTCCCAATAGTGACAACGTTAGTAAGTCATTTTTTTCTAAACCTGAAACACCGAAGTGGTTTAGTCAAACACCCCAAGTCACAACTGCCTCCTTTTTGAACTGCATCAGGACTTTCTGATGAGCATACTTATAAATATATTATTTATATATTTATATATATATTTCATATCTCAAATAAAGCCAGAGCACCTGTGTAAAATGTGATGGCTGTCCTCCAGAGAGATTCATTTCTTTTTATTTTCATTTAAGTACCATGTTTACCAATTTTTTTTTGTATATGAGCCATTTCAGGAAAATCAAGTTTACCAGTGATTTGTTTTTTCCTTTCAAAGTAGAAAAATAAAGCCTTTGTTGAGGCCCAAAGGAGGAAAATGCCATATATTTTTTTACTTAGTTTACCTACTTTATTAAACAGAAAATTGTCATTGAGAAAATTAGCATGGCTTTTTAGCCGCTCAGCTGTTCCTCTTTGGTGATATTCGAGTAGACACTTGGCGGAGGCTTTCTAATTTTTTGTTGACTTAACAGACTTTATTTTTTAGAGTGCTTTTAGATTTACAGAAAAATTGAGCAGAGAGGACAGAGAATACCCACATACCCCTCCTTTTTTCCAACCCTCTCCCACCTCCCCCCACCAACTTTCCCTATCATTAACATCTTGCATTAGTGTGGAACATGTGTCTTACAGTTGGTGACCTAATTTTGATACATTATTATTCGCTAAAGTCTATAGTTTACATGAGAGTTAACTTTCTGTGTCACACATTGTGTGTGCTTTTTTTCTGTTTTTGTTTTTGTTTTGAGACAGAGTCGTTCTATTGCCAGGCCAGAGCGATGTGGCGGGATCTTGGCTCACCGCAACCTCTGACTCCTGGGTTCAAGCGATTTGTGTCTCAGCCTCCCGAGTAGCTGGGATTACAGGCGTGCACCACCATGCCCACCTAATTTTTTTGTATTTTTAGTACAGAAGGGGTTTCACCATGTTGGCCAGGCTGGTCTTGAACTCCTGGCCTCAAGTAATCTGCCTGCCGTGGCCTCCCAAAGTGATGGGATTATAGGCGTGAACCACCATGGCTGGCCTGTGTGGGTTTTTTTTGGCAAATGTATAATGTTATGCATCCACCATCATAGTATCATACAGAACAGTTTTTCTGCTCTAAAAATCCACTGTCCTTCACCTATTTACCCCTCCCTGAACCCGAACCCCTGGCAAATACCAATGCTTTTACCATCTGTATAGTTTTGCTATTCCCAGAATATCATATACAGTAGTTGAATGCATGCAGTATGCAGCCTTTTCAGATTGGCTTCTTTCACCTAGTAATCTGCATTTAAATTCTTCCATGTCTTTTTGTGTCTTGATAGCTCATATAATATTCAATTATCTGGATGTATCACTCTTTCTTCATTCACCTCTTGAAAGACATCTTGTTTGCTTATAGTTTTGACAATTATGATAAAAGCTGCCATAAGCATTCTTGCACAGATTTTTGTGTGTGTGTGGACATACGTTTCCGTTCGCTTGGCTAAATATCTAGGGACATTTGCTGGATTGTGTGGTAGGACTATGTTTAGCTTTGTAAGAAACAACAAAATTGTTCCAAAGTGGCCGTAGTGTTTGGCATTCCCACTAGCAATGAATGAGAGTCCCAGTTGTTTTACATCCTCTCCAGCATTTGATATCATCAGTGTATGGGATTTGGGCCATTCTAACAGGGACATAGTGGTATCTCATTGTGGTAACTTACAAGTCCCTAATTACATAAGATGTGGAGTATCTTTTCATATGCTTACTTACTATCTGTAGATTCTCATTCCTAAGGTGTCTATTCAGATCTTTTGCCCACCTTTTAATTGGATTGTTTCCTAATTGTTGAGTTTTAAGACTTCTTTGTATATGTGGGGTACGAGTGCTATATCAGATATGTGTTTGCACATATTTCTTTTTCCCAGTCTATGGCTTCTCTTTTCATTATCTTAAAGCTTTTTAATTTTTTAACCATTATATTCTTATATAGCATTTTAGAGTTCACACAATTTGTTCAAATGTAATATAGCATCCCCAAAGGACCCCTGGAGCTAGATGTTATTATGGCCACATTAGAGATATGTTGGCACTGCATTAGTTAGGTGCTGCAGAGCTGTACAAACCAGCTCCCTCCTCCCAGCCTGACTGATTCCTGGGGAATTTATGTTTGTTGCTTGTCCTGGGCTGTGGGTTTGTATTAAGGAAGATTCTGATTTTCAGAGTGTCCAGTCCTCCCACCCACATCACTTACATGAGGCTGATGCTCTCCAGCCAGTGCTTAGCCGCCATCCTGGAGTGCTTGTGGTCCCGCCCTCATTGGGGGCAGATACCTTGAGCCAAGAAATTTAAAAAACTTTTTTCGGAGTCCAAGGTGATTGTCCTGGAAACTCTTTCTCCTCCTTTGGCAGAAACAAAACAAACAATACCAAAGAAAAAAAAATGAAACCCTAAGAACTTGTGTCTGGAGTTGGTTCCTTCCAGTGGGTTCGTGGTCTTGCTGACTTCAAGAACTGAGCGCCGGACCTTTGCGGTATTACAGCTCTTAAAGATGGCAGGGACCCAAAGAGTGAGCAGCAGCAAGATTTATTGTGAAGAGCAAAAGAACAAAGCTTCCACAGCATGGAAGGGGACCCGAGCGGGTTGCTGCTGCTGGCTGGGGTGGCCAGCTTTTATTCTCTTATTTGTCCCCTCTCATGTCCTGTTTCTGTCCTATCAGAATGCCCTTTTCTCAATCCTCCCGATTGGTTACGTTTAGAATCCTGCTAATTGGTCCATTTTACAGAGCGCTGATTGTTCTATTTTACAGAGCGCTGATTGATCAATTTTACAGAGCATTGATTGGTGCATTGTACAAACCTCTTGCTAGCTACAAAGCACTGATTGGTGTGTTTTTACAGAGTGCTGATTGCTGCATTTTACAATCCCCTCGTAAGACAGAAAAGTTCTCCAAGTCCCCACTCGACCCAGGAAGTCCAGCTGGCTTCACCTCTCAAACTGACATACTGCATTTTGGATCAGTTGTGAACACATTTATTAGGGGCTGCTGATCACCACCTTCAGAGTCTCAGGAGGAGGGTAACACCCCCTGAGATTCATGAACCACTGGGAAGCTGAATAGGCTTCTTCAGTGTGAGCATTACTAATGTAGCAAGAAATTATGATGACGATGCACTATGGATAATCCTAATGACATCTTCCATGCACAACCTTCACCTACTTGGATCCACCAACCTAAAGCAGCACTGGGGTCTCTGAGCTTTGCATCTTTCCAGAGTCTAGAGATTTGTCTTCTAGTTTTTGCTGAATTAAATAAAAACAGAATTAACAACACAAAGACTTTCAGGGAGTGGTTAATGGTGTGGGTGATGTCAATAAGTATTTGGCAGCATCTGCTGAGGATAATCTGAGAGGAACAATCAGGAATTGACAGCCCTTCTTATAAAGCAAAATTGCCTGGATCTGGTGATATCAGTCGTTATTGGCTTCCCTGCCTGCAAAAATGTCACACAGTAATTCCAATAGAGTTGTTTACACAAGTGGAAAAATCTGACTCCTTGATAACATGTTTCAGTTGCAAACCACTCTAATGACACTCAATGGTTTTCTAGTAAGAGAGAAATTTCCTCCAAACTCAAGAAGTTATCTGGGAACAGTGCCCTTCTTCAGTCAGGTTATTTATGTTCATTGGGCTAATGGTTTTTGTCCAGTAATACATTTAAATTGCTTTCCATTTTACTGTTATGCTTCACTATCACATTTCAGAATGTCGCTTCTCTTCCTCTGTGCAGCCGGCAATTTTTCTCAAGTATGCAATGAGAGCATTGTCCTTTCGAAGTCATTTGAAATAGACCTGGTCTCAGCCATCTCAGGAGAATATTCTCTGGCTGATAATCATAGCCAAGTGGAATGTACAAATGAAGTGAAGCTGCCTAGCAGTTCCTTTCTCTCTGGTTTCCTGGAGGCCTTGTTGCAGGGTGACAGTGCACCTATTGATCTGGGAAGAAGCCAGACATTCAGCCTCTGATGATACCTAAGAAATAGTTCCCCAGCTCTGGTATAAGAAGTACAAGGAGGTTGAGAGGAGACACTGTCTTCAAATGATTTACAAACTGAGTCACACATATCTGGCATGGATAAAGAAAAGGAGGTTCTGTAGAAGTGAACACAGTTAGGTTTATACAACCTTACAGAAGCAATTGCTCAGTAAAACCAGCAGCTTATGAGCAACAGAGGGGATAAACCCATATCCTTTATTTTGAATTTTTTTTTTCTTTTTTAGAGATAGGATCTTGCTTTGTCACCCAGGCTGGAGTGCAGTGGCAGGATCATGGCTCACTGCAGCCTCGAACTCCAGGGCTCAAGCAATCCTCCTGCTTCAACTTCCCAAGTAACCGGAACTACAGGCACACACAACCACATCTGGCTAATTTTTTAAAATTTCTGTAGAGATGACATCTCACTTTGTTGTCCAGGCAGGTCTCGAATCCCTAGCCTCAAGTGATGCTCTAGCCTCAGCCTCCCAAAGCACTAGGATTATAGTCTCGAGCCACCACACCCAGCCTAAAACCCATAAATGGAAAAGGTAGATCAGGCTGTTGAGTGACTCGGAAGCACATATAATTCTATGTAAACATCTGGAGTAATTAGTGCAACACAAGTGCTAAAAAAAAAAAAGCTGTATTTAAAAAAAAGCAGAGGCAAAGGGGTAGGACAAGTGCCCATTTCTTAGCTTCTGAGTGCTGGCAACACAAGGTCATTGTTTACATGACAATGGACCACCTTTGTGCCTGATGCTCAAACTCGGAAATGTGTATGTATATTGTACGTTTAGAAGGTAAAATTAAGAAAAGCTAATTTGAGTTTAACATTCGAATGAAAAAGTTTTAACCTCAAAATAAAATTGACTAGGAAAAAAAATGAGGTACTAGGAAGTGTGAATAGTGCTGCTCATCTGCAGCAGTGTAATCCTGGAAACTCCGGCTCTGTTCCAAAACTTGGAGAATTATGACAGCAGACAGTGCTCCTCAGCAGGGCAAGGTGAACTGTCGGGGAAAAACTGTTCTCTGCTGAGTGACTGGAGTATCTTTCAGCATCCCGCCTGCTGTGGAATTTTGCCGCTTGGTTGGTTCTGCCCTCCTTTTGAATGTGGGTGAAGCCCTGCTATTCCCCGGAAAATATTATTCATCAGTTAATTTATGACTTGCTTCATCTTGCCACCACTAATTACTGGTGTTGCTGCTCTCTGCAGTAGGCTCAAAAGCTGAGACGGATTCTATCTAAAATAGATCTTTGGCTGAGGAGCAGGCAGTGGTGGTGGCAGGCTAGAATGTCACACAAAGGCAACTCGGAAAAGGAAAAGCCTACACCTGGACCAGAAAACTGTGTTTTAAAAGGAGACATATGGGCAGGGTATGGTGGCTCACGCCTGTAATCCCAGCACTTTGGGAGGCCTAGGTGGGGGCAGATCACGAGGTCAAGAGATCGAGACTATCCTGGCCAACATGGTGAAACCCCGTTTCTACTAAAAATAGAAAAACTAGCTGGGCGTGGTGGCACGCGCCTGTAGTCCCAGCTATCAGGAGGCTGAGGCTGGAGAATCGCTTGAACCCGGGAATTGGAGGTTGCAGTGAGCCGAGATCACGCCACTGCACTCCAGCCTGGCAACAGAGCAAGACTCCGTCTCAAAAAAATAAAAAAATAAAAATAAATAAAAAATAAAAATAAAAGAAGACATATGGAATATTGGATGTGTGGGCAGGGGAGTGAAAGAGGAAGCCAAAAAAGTAATTTACATGGATAAATGCCCATATGTAAAAGAAAATATCTTGGTCTGATTCCAATTTCAGTGTCCCAAGGAGGAAGGTAGCATACTTATTACGGTCAACCCCTATGCACTATGGTTAGAATTTTAGGTGCCATATCAGGTGGGCAGGTGGAGGTGTCGGAAGACAAGCATCCTGCCTGTTGGTCAGCCAGTCCTCTGTACACATTAGGTGCTTAGGAAATGTTGCTCCATATGTCACCAACTCACTTAAAGTCAGATCTTTGGGAAGTGGGGAGAGGAAGTTCAAATTAAACCTTTGGCAACACAGATTTTATTGACTGAATCTTCAGGGGCCGCGGACAGGTGCCTGATGAACTTTAAATTAAACTCTAAATTTCTAAAACTTTGCTGCATACATACATAAATTACAGTGCAGCTTGCATACCTGAGAGAGATGGTTTTGCTTTTTTAAAAGATGTTTTCAGAGTTAGAAGAAAGAATTCCTTTAACTACCAATTCCAGAAAAGGGGATTTTGATTTGGTCACATGAAGGTGAATGTTTAAAAAGTAGAAACAAAACCTTCCCTACTCCCAAAGGAAAAGTAATCCCGGGGAGTCCTGTAAGAATAGGTACCTTCTGTAGTAAAGTCCTTTTTTAAGGATAAGGATTAGCAAGGGCTCACGTGCCCAATTTAGACCCCAAACGAAGTGGGGGCAGCACTCATCAAAAATGAGAAACCTTTATAGCAGCTCCTTTTTGTTCCAGGAATCCTCCTAGAGCAAAGGATTTCTTGAGTCATTCCCTCAGCCATAAAAACCTTACAGCTATTCTCAGTGAAGAAAAAAGTAAAAAAGAAAGGGAAATTAAAATAGCTCTGGTGGGCATGGGGTGCCATCCCTGTAGAAAAATTCAACGATTGAAAAAAATTAGATTTCAGCAGTATGTGAGAGCTGGAACTAAGGTGAGGAAAGAAGGGTATGGCAAAGGGAGAAGGAAAAGAGTTGGGGGAATCACACTATCTGGTGACAGAACCACCTCCTTCCTGGGCCAAATGTTTGAGCTGTACTTCCTGACCTTACGTTTCCAAATATTCTTAGGCTATGTCAAGGCTGTAGCTGGTGCACAACCCAGCCCCACAGTGACATCAGTCCTGGAACCAGCCTGGCTGAGATGCTCCCTATCCTAAGCCACTCAGAAAGGAAAGGTACACAGCATGATGGATCGCCCCCAAAGACTTTGATCACATATTTGTCAGTCTTGGAGCTCTGTGGCCTAGTCTCAGCAGTTCCTTTTGTCCTTGCGCTAAGATCTTTTCTGTGAGAAAAAGTTTTAAAAATAAAATTTTAAAGAACAGTAACACATACACTTTTTTTTTCTTGATGTCTTCAAAATGCAGATTATCGAGTTTCCCATGAGCTCATATGTCATTTTCCCCTGACAGGCTTTGATCCCCAGCTTCATCTGTACTGCATTTCAACAGACTGTCTCTAACCCCTGCTAGACTGTCTTCTTGGTACTTGCACACAGTAGACATCCAATGCAGATTTGCTGAATGGATTATTGTTATGGGTGCATGATATGAGCTGTGGGTAACAGAAAACTCTTCTGAAGTCAAAGCATGGGAGATGAAATAATTTTCCATGGGCTTTGAAACAGAGTAATGGAATGAAGAACTGTATGCAATTTTATTCTAACAATACAGTTTTTAATGCAGGTGAGGCTAGCATTCACCTGTTAAATACTTCATATCCTATGTATTAAAAGGTTTAAGGTATTCAAAGATTCATGTGCAGAATATTGCTTTTAAATTTATTTTTAGCACACTACCAAATACCCAAGCCAAGATACATGGTATGGGAAAATTGAAAATATTTTATAAAACAATGTCTAAATTTTTCCAGTATTTATCTCAAGGATTATATATTTTGACCTGGGAGAAATTTTTTTATTCTACAAATTCGCTTTTCTATTAAATATATTTGAATACTTCAAAGTATATGGTAAATCATTACCTGTTTTTGTATCTATTATATTTATATTGCTTGTACATATTTTTCAGGGCCTCATATGTTGATTTCTGGAGGATATAAATTTTATCTGAAGTTTAATTGGCCTTTTATAAGCACCATAGATAATGATGCCCAACAGTAGAAAAGATCAGGAAAAAATCATTGTACTTGAGCTTATTTCTTGGACATATTTTCATGCTGGCTTTAAAACCATTCTGACTTCTAAACATAAGATATCCACAACCTATTTTATATAAACTTCCCCTTTCCCCCTTTCATCCTCTATCACCCTTAAGAGACTTTCAATCTCACATTTTTCTCTTCTGACTCTCCTACATACAACCCTGCAACAAAATGACCTTTTGTAAAATTCCACAGGGTAAGGAATCTCCAAGCGGGGTGAGCCAAACTATCATTTTATCTCTTCCAGAAAGAGATTTCATTTCATGCTTTAATTTTGGGCCAACTGACCTAGCATTTCAGATTTTTAAAACCTTTGGCAACTTGCCTTCCAGGGCTCATCTAAAATATTCTCTCTACCCCTCCAACAGATTTTCTCTTGCAAGTCTAGGGGAGAAAAAAATGCAGTGGGAATAGTGTGGGAGGGAAAAGTGTAAGGACATACAGTTGACACAAATCAAGTTTTAGCCTTTGGGCCTTTCATTAGGTCGTCTAGGGAAAAAAGAATCATAAACAACCCTCCCCCTCAACCCCTAAAAAAAGTCATCATAAAGAAGGGATCTCTTTGATGAAGTAAGTTAAAAGTCTCTCTCGACACCGTGGATCAAAAAAGGTAAATACAGAGAGAGCAAATCTGAACAGTGTCTTCTAATTCCAAATGACTTTCACTTCAGCACTTCCGTTCTTTGGGTTCATGGGTTCCTTTATGCTTTAGACAACATTTTTGGAATCATGAGGAGAAAATATTTAAAAAATTAAAATCTGTGAGTACCAAAAGATTCACTTTTAAAGGCTTCTCTGATAATTTTCTCAGATGAAATGTTTCTGGGATATGCATATCTTCTGGGGTACGTAAAAGGGAAAAAACAGACACAGATAAAACCAGAGTGGGAAAATGTTATTTGTTGAAGCTAGATTATGTGTATATGGGGTTCAAAATACCTCTCTACTTCTGCATATACTGTATTTGAAAATTCCTATAATTTCAAAAAGGTAAAAAGGTTTATGATAAATTATGATTCATAATTTTATCTTTAGTATAAATCCTTTTAAAATATGTATGGAATGGAGTCAGTAGTATGTTTTAGCTGACTGTTGATTAGAATCACTTAATTTTTCCTTGCAATAGGTTTTATGTTCTATTCAAAAGGATCGGTGCAATTGTGTAATACACACAGGACCATAAAACTACACTTATGTATATCCTGTCACTTTTTTCCTAACAGAATTTTAATCTTTGGTATGGACCCCATGTTCTCTCTCTCTCTCCCTCACACACACACAATCTTATTCTCAGCAATGGAAAGGAGGTGTGCTGGAATATCTCGTATAATTCATTAGACAGGCTAATTTTATAGAAAAATCTTACATAGTGCTACATATAAAAGTTATGAGTTAATGGGTGCAAATTTTTACCTATTCTGAGTTTTCCATACCATCAAATCTCCTGCAACAGCTTATCTCTACAGCATCAAAGTTTATCTTGAATAGTTATACTCATCATATCTTTTGAATGTACTTAAAAAAATGCTAACCTTACAGTTGGAATTAAAACAATACAATCAATAATTACCATTTAATGGGCATTTATGCTACAGGCCCTATGACAATATTTTCATATATACTCTCTTTTCTTCACCACAGCAATGGTATGAGGAGGTATCATCACTATCAATAAATCTGAATTAGGGAGGTTAAAAAAAACCCAATGGTACATGGGTAGAAGAACTGTCTGAATACAAAGTCTATTTGTTGATAATTAATACTGTGTGCATGCATGCGTGTAGTTTCCAAAGGATTAAAAAAAACAACTTAGGAACATTGTATTCACCAAATCTGAGGTGCGAGTTTATACTTAGGTAACACTCTTAATGAAATCGCTTCCACAGTTTTGTCCCAGTTCAGGGAAAGATGGTGTGTTCTGATCACTAGTCCCAGAAGCGCACCCCAGAAGCGTTCACCCAAGTGGCGTACTGAAGCATATCCTCTTCTTCTATTGGGCTGATCATCACTCTACACTTTTGGGAAAAGCAACCAAGGCTGTCCAGACAATGGCAAATCACAGGCAAACACAGTTTAGGGGGACACATCATTCGATGTTCTAAAATAGTTGAAATATCTTACTTTTATTAGTATTTTTCCTACTGTTTTTAGTGAAAATGGTACATTAAAGGCACATACTCTACGGCCAGTAGTGTGAACATAAAGAAATATATTTGAATAATATCTTTAAAATATTTCAAAGTTTTATTAAATATTTTTATTCAGTTTTAAGATCACAGTTAAAGTACTTTAGCATGTTATACACATGACTTACATGTGCAATTTTTAGAAATATCAAATTAGGTATAAGATTTTGAAGAAAGAAATTATATAAATGTGTATATTGACTTTTACTACACATACATCTAAGAAAGCAATAATTCTGTTGTACCATTAAGTGGAAATCATTTATTACATGGCATGTTTACACCAACTCTAAAGAGAACCAAGCCAATTTCTGAAAGCAAAAAAAAAAAATGAGCGATTCAGTCATGCTGAAACTGTCAACAGACTTTAGACCTGGTGGTCAAATGAAGCTGTGGTTAATTTATGACATGTGAGTAAGCAATTCAAACCTACGAGAAGAGTTTATAATCTGGTATGTGGAGTCTCAGGTGATTTTATTCTTTTTTCTGACAAATTCCTGAGAGCAAGAGACTTGTTTAGTGCTAATGAAATGGAGAAAACGTTGCTGAGCCAGTTGCTGAGCTCCAGATCGCAAACCTTCCCTACCCCCCGTTCCACGGCTCTTAGAGCTGAGGCACTCATGTGAGGAGTCAGGGGACATGAGCCCACCCCTCTGGTGGGCCACAGAGCGAAATCAGTGTTAATGCATGAAACATGCATGTCTCTGTGATTTAGGTTAGAGCTTGTGAGGTAAGATTTGCATTGTGGGTGGAAGAGTTTTGAGGCATTGAATTAGATCCTTGTTACTCAGTAACCACCTCTGGCCCAAGTTATCAGGAAATCTTTGGAGGGAGCAGTAATGTTCACAATAACTAGTTCTGTGCATAAAAATCGATTTAAGCACATGATCAGTTTTGACCACTGACTGCAAAAAGAAAACAGCAGCCATATAATTTTTAACCACAAGGTTTCCTCTCTCAATTTAACAGTATGAATCATACCACCATAGATCAAATTTGGCCAGAAGAGGAACCTTTTTTTTTTTTTTTTTTAAAAAAAAGATGCACATTTATATATTTGAAGGAAGGGTAGCACATACAGATGGGGATTATGAGGGAGTCAAATACATTTGTCTTTTTATTCACGCTTGTTGCTTCTTTGTTCTGAAATATAAGGAAGATAAGGTCCTCAGTGAAATGAACAAAGTTGTTTAATATAGAGTATAATAAACTTAGCTATCACTTCCAAACGAAAGTAAAGCAGTCCATCAAACCCTGAATACTTCGCCAGACACATCTGGTAAGATGAACTGAACAACAGCTTCTTTTAAAATTGTAAGTATGCTGTTAGTCAATCTAAATAAGATAATTTTTAAAAATCCAAAAACTCAAAACAAAATCCAAATCTAGTTCTTTGGGAATGCTTGTATAAACAAAAGCAACATCTAATTAACAATTAGTATACTTTTTATAAGGTGCAAAATAAGGAGCTATTTGGGAAAGCTAAGTTTTAATTTCTACCTAGCAGTCACTCTGAATACTTTATAGGTCAAATGTAACAACAGCATTTGCTTCTACTGCCCATTTTCAGCAATACATTGTTCTCTCTGGAGGAGGCAGTTTGTGAAGTCAAAACACTGCAGTGGAAAATAGTGGCACTGAAGGTAGAAGCAAAAAAAGACAAACTTTTGAAACAGGACTTACTGAAATTAACTTTTAAAGCCGAGGTAGCCCATTAGGATTGGCCTTATATGAGGGCTCTGTGGAGCAGTGCAATTGAAGGTGAATCTCCTCAACAGCATCACACCCCGCAACATCCCCTTTACAAATGATGGCTCCAGGCCTCCTGCAATTTCCTTCCTTTTCCCAGATGAAGTGGTGGGTGCTTCTCCTTTGCTGTATGGAATGCCATCCTCCAGCCTCCAGCTGCTCGTCTTCAGAACATTTACGATTCATACAGTAGTTTAGCAGGCAGCATGGTCCCACTGCTTCACATTAATGTCAAATGCCAAACTTGGAACAGAGTTTTTTGGTATTTTCCCTCCCCTCCCCACCTTATAAACAAAACATGGCATTCAGTTTTCAGCTTACTCCTGTTCTGTAGCAATTTGTAATTAGCTTGTGACTTTACATAGGTGCAAACATTTCCATACATTGAGCCAAAGACTGCAGAGTGCAAACAAAATTTTATCTGACTTACAGTAGCATCTGACTTAATAAGAAAACAAAAGGATTTGAACACATTGGATTCTAAATAACCAGACCAGTTCAGATGCTCCTTTTTGTTCATAGTGTTCCATCATTATTTTGTTTCTCCAGCAATTTTAGTGGCAGGAAGTAGAATCACAATGATAACGTGGGAATTATTTTAACATGGCTTTGGGACATGGCATCGGTAGAAAGCTCATCTGACAGAATTAAATAAATATATTTCTGATATTTGTGGGAAAAAGACTATCGGAATTACAACAGTAGAATTTACCTTTTAAAAGGGGTTTTAATGAATTAACAGTTTTGATCTAAAATCTGGGAACTAACCTAATTTGGGGACAAGAACCTGTATTTCCAATGTGGCTGTGGGACATTTTTCTTTTTCCTGATCTCATATACAGTACCCAAACAAATAAAAACTTTAAGGATGTCTTACAGTATTTTTTCTTTCACTCAGCTTCTTACAGCTGCAGCTTCAGTTACTATAATATACTCTACACACTTCAAAATTACATAGGAAATACCCAGAATAACTAAATAAATAAAAGGCTAAAGAAAACTGGAACAGTACTGCGTCTCCATCTGAGACGCAATCTTCTACTTCCAGCATCGCAGAGAAGGGCTAGGACAATTTTTTTTCAAAAGATTTATATACAGGCTTGAATCCAGAAATTAAGGTTAAAAGCATAAATATTGATAATTTCAACTAAATTCAGAATGGTTTCAGAAAGATATGATACAACAATTTAGAATAAAACAAAGCAGAAGAGCATCATATTTTGGTTTGCTTGAGATATATATAAGGTGCAACAACTTTTTCTCTTGAGGATGCTGTGGGACAAATGTTAGTGTAGATGGTATCTGCTGGCAGATTAAAGTACACACTATAGCAATATGATTTTCCAAAATAAAAAAGAATGAGAGAAATGAAATGAAAATGATAACAAAAGGTGGGGTGGAGAGCACTAATATTGGTCTGAAATATTTGTGCTAACGAATGTTGTTACCTGAAAATAACAACACTCCTCTCCAGCAGTTTCAGGGCATGAGAAGCACAATTATTGAAATCAAGACTTTACTCAGAGAATCGACAAGGTGAGTCTAAGGAACTATAAAGCTTTGCAGGATTTCTGCTACTCTCAGTGCCTAACCGCTTAAAAATTAAGCATTTCTACAAAAAGGTTTGTTTTAAAGTATCTGAAAACAGTCATCTCCAGTAAGTTGCCCTCCCACCCCCAACCCTGCCTAAGGGAAAAGCCACTGAGGTTTAGGAAAAGCAGATCAAGTAAGATATTAATCACATAGAAAAAAAGTAATCTTTTGTTTTGCTTTTTTTTTTTTTAAAAAAGGTCCCAGGAATATACAGCAATCTCGTAAGGAACTCTAGTGAAATGTAATCGGAGGACTGAAGGAGGGTGCTCTGGCAAAAATAGATCTATTCTAACGTGTTCTATAGAATAACAAGTTAGTACCATTGTCAAGGTGCATGTTCCGCACCATACAATTTTTGTTGTTGGTTTTTTGTTTTGGATTTTAGCTAATTATAATCTTCAAATCACTGCTAGCGAGTGGTCCAAAACTCCAACAGCCACCAACATCGGGACCCAGCAATTTCAAACATTCACTTTTTGTTTTGAAATTTAGAAAATATTAATAAAACAGCATCATAGTAAAAATATTATGCAAAAGTCTGGAACTGCTCACTTGATTTATTCCTACATGAATGGGGTTAAGTTGTAACGTTTGATTAACCTTTTACTAATGCCTTCTTCCTCCATCCCCACCAGGAATATGCATTTTTGAGCACATCATTCCGATGCTTTGCTACCCTCTTTACCTGCTTTGGAAAAAAAAACAAGAAGAAAAACCTCTATTTTTTTTTCAATCCTGTTAGTATGTTGTACATATTTTCCAGCACCGGAACTGAAGTAATATCTACAACCATGAGAAGCTAAACCTAGTATGAATAGAGTCATTTTTTGTATGGCTATTACGTCAAATTACAATTAGAAAAAAAATCATTACAATTCAGTCAAGTATAAATAAGAAAGCTAGATAAAACCATGTAAACTGTCACCATTTAGAGATCTAATTCAAAAGCTTCAAACTCGAACTAGCACTGTCAAAATTCCGCCAGTTTGAAAACCATTAAAAATTATTGCTGGAATCCAATAATTAAAATTTGGTAGTTTGTGCTGTGACGCAAGAGTGGGGAAATACTTTGTGCTATAGAACAAATACCCTGTAAAATCTGTAGCCTCAGACTAATTTTGATTTATCACTTTGCATCTGTTGCTAGGAAACAAGACACTGTGAATGTCAGGTGGTTAAGTCAATATGTTGAATGTTCTAAGCCAGTTAATCCACTTGGCGCTGCTTATGTATGGTTGGTTTTATGTTCAAAAGCAACAAAACACAAAAAGGAAACAGAGACTTGCAGGTGGATCTATGACTGAGAGTCCCACTCTGGTCAGGCATACCTCCCTCATCATTGACTCAGTACCTCCTAAACAACACAAACTCAAAATGGCTCTAAAAACCTGCAGTGCCAATCAGGCTGTGCATAGCAATTGCAACCCGTCCAGCCAATCTGTGATGGATGTAAAAGGTCTGTAGCTCCAAGTCCACATGAAGTGAGTGTCTTCAATGTGTTTAGAATAGTGAAGTAATACTAAGGTCACTTCTGAATAATATTTTTGTCTTTTTTTTTGTTTGTATGAACAATCCATTGGTCACTTAGACCCCTATGTAAAAATAAAAGAATCCTCAAGGCATGAAAACACCAGTAATCTGTAATCTGCAGGACTCTTCCCCTGTCTGGGAAAATATTTGCCACAATTTGCCTCAAGCAAATTCTTCTTGGTCACTCAAGGCTAAGAAAAAAATTCAGATTGTAAGAGTTGTAATTTTTTCTCTCTCTCTTTTTTTTTTTTTTTTGCCAGCAAACTACCATTCTGGTGGCAAATATAAAAGTGCAGAATATATGGACCACGAGGCCGAGCATACACCACTAACAATGGTACATCTGCCTGCCCAGGCTGCTTGGGAGTCTCTGGAACAGGCTTTTTAATATTTATTCTACAATATAAATGTAGGTATAACCTATTATATAAACCATCTTAAACTTAAATCTCCATGTACAAAAAAGACTAAGAATATCTAATAATAACTAGTGCAGTGCGTCAGTTTTTGTTTTTTTTTTGTTTTGTTTTGAAAGAATAACTAGGTAATATATGAAACTAGTTTCACACTCTCTGGTTGGTAAAAGAGATGCTGGGTGAGCTACAGTAAAGGCAGCCTTTTACCAAGTTACCACCTATTACCGTCAAAAGCCTTCAATAGAAAGCAAAGCTCCAGGATCATTCTGTTTCTGCTCAGTATCAGACAGATAACCTTACCCTCAAAGATTCTGGGTTCTGAGAGAACAAACTGGCCCAGGATGCTAACTTCTGCTTCAAGTGAATCTGGGCCGTGTGGGGCAACAAGCACTTGTTTGCAGTCTATATTTTCCACCACTTGGACTCACTAGCATCCCTCGGTAAAGACAAGGCTAGGGTAGTAGGTAAAGCACAATGTTTTACAATGAAAGGGCGCTTCACTGGTCAGCGCAGGAAATAAGTACAGGAGCCTGCGGCATTTCTTTTGGCTGTCCATCATGGGTGAGCGGAGTTGACCTCTGACCTCTGTAAAATAAAAGGAAGAAAAAGTCACTTATTCAGCATATGTTATTAGAGACAGGAGAGGACGATGAATAACAAGTGTGTTCCAATATCTTGTTTAACAGTTACTGCTGTTACTTACATCATTTAATGAAAACTGTTTTTGCTTTAGAGTTTTTTCTCTTCTGTCCCCTTCCTTATCCTTTTTTTCCCCTTCCTCCTTCCCATTCTGTCTCCCTTCCTAAGATTTTATATCTGAATTCCCCTCATACAACTCAACAGCATACCCTCTGGCCTCAAACAACTAACCACTTCCATTTTGAAGAGATGAAATTTTAAGTACCAACAGATTTGGGGCAACTCTTTAAGAAGTGGGAAAATTTCAATCAAGGACTGGGGTTCTTGGACAATAATTTTCCTGTTGATCCATTGGTATTAAAAATGACACATTCCTTTTCTTGACTTGCCTGAAGGGAAAGTTCTCCTATAGTAATTGGTAACCTTCAGGTAATTTAGTGATAATAAAAGCAATGACTCTGGAAGAGAAACAGAGATGGACTGTGACTCCAAAAAAAAAAAAAGGAATGAAGAAACAATAAAACCCTCTGAACTCACATGCACATGGACAGAGAGTGTTTAGAGGAAGAAAACAAGCACTGATGCTGGATTTTAGATTTTAACAAAATCTACCCTAGTTGGGTGAAAATCAATACACATGGAGGGAGAACTCCAGACAGGACTAGAAAATTCATGGAAATTTTCATCATTTGGATAGAACCTATGCCAAACATAGCTGATTTTTCATTCAGCTTTTGTATAATTAGTAGTAAAAATACAATTTACTTCATGGTTATGAGAAAACTGTCCAAAATTCTTGGTAATTTCTACAGAGCTTCTCATTCTAAAAAGATAGGACTGGGTACTTCCTTGACATTTTCCAACAGGCCTACCAATCCTAGAAAATGCACACTCACTGCTCTGTAACCTACAATGGTCTGTAGTGCATAACACTGTGCTGAAAATATGTGATGTATCAGCAATGTTTTCATTGGGATGACCTTTCAAAATCGTATCTTCTTCAGAGTACATAGAACAAAAGGAGCTATTTCAAGATTTAGCTTGTACCTGCTCTATAACTATACTCAAGTTTCTCTTGATGCACAAAAAAGAAAAATAATGTAGACAAATTGCAACATTTGGGGGTTTCAGAATCAAATGATCACTTAATAGCCCAAGATATTTAGGATTTTAGAAAAGCAAAACATTTTAGAATCAAACCTCTGGATTAAGCTATTCACATGTGGATGTTATAGATACCACCTGTTCAATATGTTCAGCTCTTTGTTCAAGAAAGATGAAATTAAAATGCTACTTTTTACTTTTAAGATATTAAAAGACCCAAAAGAATTTTAATAAGTATTAGAAAAGGAAAAAAAAAAACAAAAAAGATGAAAAGTGCAATGTAAAAAAAGATGGCAAGAAGGAGAGAGAAATTGGGGTGAAAGTCCAGCTAAATCAATGGAAAAAGGAAAGAAGTCAGAATCACAGTGGGAGAGGACTATGTGCTGCAACTGATGATTCTAGCTCCCAGAGGAAGGGTCAGGTGAGATTCTTCATGATTTTCTCTGACATGACTGAAGCTTTCCTTTGGCAGTACGCGAGATAAGGAGTTCAAATCTTGACTTGGGCACAAATTGGCTGTGTGCTCTTGGCAAGTTAATTAACGGTCATTAAAATGGGACTAAAAAGGCCCACTTGGGAGGGCTAATTTAACTTCTAGTAAATAAACTGGTCTCTTAACAAAGGTTTGTTCCAACTCTCTATTTTGTGTATTTTGTAAAACTGTCTAAGTTAGGTTTCTGAACCTAACGTTAGATTTTTTCATGGCATGAGTGCAGGTCGTATATTTCCACCCCTAACTCCATGGGCCACCCTTTAAACTATGAACCGAGTTGATGCTGAAGTAATGCTTACTTCATTGGTATGCAACCCAGGTTCAATAACAGTGAGCCTACAGGTAGAAGCCTGGTGGGTAGATCTGCTTTAACAGGTAGGGGCTCAAGTTACAGCTAAGACTCTCCAGGGTGATCTGTCCTTCTAGCTATTAAGAACACTAACCATTTATTAGGTTGATGGTAAAATTCTAGTAATCATTACTGTTCTTTCTAATGGAAGGTTAAAAAAAATAAAAAGAATCTTTACTCACATTATTTTTTCTATACCTGTTATCTAACTTAGGCAGTCATACTTCAGAAACTACCTCATTTATTCATTCACCCACTCATTTGTTCATTTATCAATTGTTATAACAGGAACTAAGCAAGCTGGTAACATAGAGAATAAAACCACTGTTTTGCTTTCAAAATATACTGAAAGTAGACAGAAGTATCGACAAATCAATACATCCCAATGTGGTCTGAGAGAGGTGTGAGCATAGCATGCAGGAGCAACAAGAAACACACAGCCTAGGGCATCAGGAGGACTGAGAGAAGAGGACCGGGGACTAGGGTGGGGAGAAGGAGAGCAGTTCACCTGATCAGAGGATGTACAAGGCAAGAGCTTGGCGTATCTGGAAAGGGGTAAGTGATTCCACCTAACTGCAGGGTAGGGAGTGTGGAGGGCAGAGACAATGAGATTGGAAAGGTTTGCTGTGGCTTTCTGCTGATGCAAATTGGGAACCATGGAGGGCTGGTTAACAGAGCAACGGTGTGACCACGCTTAGAACACAGGCAGCAGCCAAGCTGCTTATGTGCTAGCCTTTTCCTACCCTTGAATTATTATCCCTCTCTCAATTCTCAGATTCCCTCTTATTTCCACAATTCACAGGGACACTTAATAACATTCAGGCAGATATTTTAAGTTCTCACTGCACGTGTATGTGCTTGTCCTCTATCCTTGACTGCACAACTCCACAAATGGAGAAGTATCTGTGCATTGTCTCCCTCAGAGACCTCACTGAATTTTAACAATGTCTGTGAGCATTCACTTGCTATTAGGAACTTGCAGTGTACACATAAAGAGGAATTTGACTTCTTGGAAATATCTAGAGGCTATTTGTGAGGAAGTACTCAAACTGTAATATGACAGGTAAATAGCAAGAAGCAAACCAAGCTCACGTCAGGGGACTCCAGGTTTACCTGGATGTCAAAAAGGAGCATGGGGCCTACAGCTGGCTACACAAGCTGCACTGGGTTGAGAGCTCTTTTGTACTGAAGACTGAAAGTCTAAGAAAGCAGCTCATCCATGGGTAATCCACTTTGAATAGGAATATAAAATACCTGAATTTACAACAGGCTTTTTTGCCTTCCCAAAGGATCCATTAAGTAGCAGAATACCCAATTATACACTTAGAACTTAATATACTTTCTGTGGGGCTTCGCTGAGTTCAAAGGGTTTTCACATCTATGATCTCGTCTGATGCTTACAACTTCGTAATTCTTTGGCGATATCACTATGCTCAATGTGTGCTGAGAAAACTAAAGTCCAGAGAAAAAAATTACTTTGTAGGAAATCACAGAAGAGTTGAAGAAAAATCCAGGCCTCTGGCTGCCATGAGTCAGATGCCAAAATGCTCTTTCCCTTGAACTGCACTGTCTTCTGATGGCTGGTGATGGCACCAACACCATCACCAATAAGGGGCATTCCACACACCAGCACTGGGATGCTAGAGTTACCCCACATAACATCTCTGTGAAATGAGTGCCACCTGCCCCTGTTTTTTTAGAGGAAAAAAACCAAGGGTAGAGAGGTTAATAATCTTGGTCAAGATCTTTCGGTTTGCAGGTGATGGAGCTAGGACTCAAACCTCAGTCTGCAATGGGACTCCAAAGCTCATTGGTCAGATAATACTGCTTCCCTGCTCTCAGGCTTTTTACGGAAATGAAGTTTAGCCACAGGATAACATATTCAAAATAAAATACTTGGCTGACTATATTCCCTGGTATTTTCCCGCACTGCTAATTAGCATATATGCTTTTGTAATACCTCATATAACCAATAGTGCTCTTGAACCAAGTTTGAACCCCAATGCCCTGTAAAAAATGTCACAAATCACATCAAAGAGGTTGATCTGGTTTCCATGTTGCTTTCTCCTTCCACCTTCTACCACTAACCTGTGCACATTTTCCATGGCTGCCACTTCAGCCAGCGCAGCGAGGCTAAAGAACGCAGACACGGCAGGCATTTCTGGAGTACTGCTCCGCGTCTCCCCGACCTCGGTGTTGTGTGAGCATTTGTCATTGCAGTCTGTCTCAGTTGCTTTAGGGAGACTCCTCTGCAGTTGTTCCTTTGGTTTGTCATCTGTAACAAAAGAGAAATCCATCATGAGAGGATCACTCTGTTCTCTCCAGAGAAGAGACATAGAAAACGCTGTGCCAGTCAACATGAAAAGAGCTAACATTCTCTACCATTCACTTTTGCTATCCATCGAATATTAAGGCTTTTACAGAATCTCTTCTCCTCAGTAACAAAGCTCTTTTATTAAGCTTAGTTGCAACTATGGACAGCACTGTGCCCTGAGGCTGAGCTGAAGAGAAGCTGTGTTTTATCTGAGGTCAAAGAATGGGTCAGTCTTGGAGTGAGAAGGAAAAATGAGCCTCAGCTAAAATAAAACCCAAGGGACTTCTGTAGAGGGGCCTGTAGATGCTGTAAAAGAGCCCTTAAAAACCCAACTGACTAAGCATTTCTCATGAAGCTGTAGCATGCCCTACTATGGCAACTTGGACATTGGGTATGCTGTGATACCAACACTTAGGATGGCCTATACAGCACATTAACCAGTTCTAATGAGAGCCCAAGTTGTTATTTTGTTCTAAAGACCTACTGGAGAGAAGACAAAGCCCTCTGGTCTTTACAAAGAGGTGGATGAAATGCTGTGCAAGTATGCCTGCTACAAATGAGTATACTTTCTTTCTTATGTAGCCATTATAGAGAAGGGAAATTTTTATCATAGTTTTAAAAAAATTGTAAATATAGAAAATGACTGATAAAAGCTTTAAATATTATCTATTAGGACACAAAAGTGGTATGACACTTTTCTATGTAAATGGGACTGTTCTCATATTTCTTCACTCCTCCTCCAAGTGAAAACAAATGTGGATGTAACAATCTACAAAATGAAAGTCACAGAACAGAACTCAGATTGGACAGAAAAGGAGGGAGGGGACTGCTGGGCTAAACATCAGGACATCTAGGTGTTAGTCCTCATTCTACTTCTATTGTATTGAATGTACTCAAACAAAAACTTCCACCTCTTTGAATTTTTTCTCTTATATGACAGGGCAAAATCAGGGCCTTTAATATACTCTATGTTTCTAACAATCTAAATATTCAAAACACACAAAAGAAGTGCACAAAATTCATAAACTGTCCTCTAACTAAGCAAACAGTTCCCCTCTATTAACACCTAGATTAACCCAAATCACATAAAATAAAATTGCGGAGGTGCTGAGAGGCAGAAAGGCAACAGCCAAGGCCACTAGTACCTAGCTGGTATAGCACTCCAAGATTTTGCGGCCGGGGGGTCTCAGTATCACTCTTCGGCCACACCCCTTACCTTGGGCTCCTCCGGTCATTCTACTGCCAAAGAGGCTACCAGGAACAGCAAACAGACAACAGGCCATGATTGAAAATGGAGAAATTCACCAGTTGGTGAATTAAATCAGATAACTCAAGAAATCCAGAAGCATTCTCAGGCTCCCTGCATGGTCTAAACCAGTTATATAGGAAGTGAATGTTGGATGCATTTTAAGCTTAATCTACTGGTTTGAATGCCTGGTAATCTGGCTTGTAGTGACCCGAACAGCAGACCATGGTCAAATACTGATTCATCTAGTATCTTTAAAAGTATAGGATCTCCTGGAATTAAGATTGCTTTTGTGCACATTGAGAAAGATAAAGGGAAGATGACAGTCCTAAAAACTACCTTTCTTTTCTAGGAATTCAGATATGCTCTTGGAAAACTAGCTATGATTTTAAACATGGAATAAAACATGTTTGGAGGTCTGTAGAAAGCTGCAGAATAGACTCATTTTTCAGTAGGAACCACAGTTGCTTACAGTCATTTGCTGACATGGTGGTCATCTGCTTGCTCTGGTTATCTCTGTCTAAAGCAAGCTTGTCCAACCCATGGCCTGCAGGCTGCATGTGGCTGGGGACAGCTTTGAATGCAGCCCAACACAAATTCGTAAACTTTCTTAAAACATTCTGAGATTTTTTTGTGTTTGTTGTTGTTGTTTTTTTTTTTGAGACAGAGTCTCACTCTGTCGCCCAGGCTGGAGTGCAGTGGCGCGATCTCGGCTCACTGCAACCTCCGACTCTCGGGTTCACGCCATTCTCCTGCCTCAGCCTCCCAAGCAGCTGGGACTACAGGCACCCACCACCAGGCCCGGCTAATTTTTTGTATTTTTAGTAGAGATGGGGTTTCACAGTGTTAGCCAGGATGGTCTCGATCTCCTGACCTCATGATCCACCCACCTCAGCCTCCTAAAGCGTTGGGATTACAGACGTGAGCCACCGCGCCTGGCCTGGTTTTTTTTGTTTTTGTTTTTTTTTTTTTTTAGCTCATTGGCTATTGTTAGTGTATTTCATTGTGGCTCAAGACAATTCTTCTTCCAGTGTGGCCCAGGGAAGCTAAAAGATTGGACACCTCTGGTCTAAAGCTCTCTCTTCTTACCCAAAGTACCTCCTGCTGGTGATACCCGGCCATCTGCTGTCCTGACAAGGTGTGTAATCTTGGTTTTCCTTGCTTTTCTCTTTTGGCTGCCCACCAAAGGTTCTTGCGTTGTTGTTGGCTCTGGAGTGTTGAAAATGGATGGGATATTTTTAACCTTATGAACAGGCTCCATGGTGTTTCTGTCTTCTGAAAATATGGCTGAAATAGGAAATACCATGCATAGTTATGCACAAAAACAGAAGGCACCAAAATTGCTCTTAGAAGGAAACATGTCTAAATTTCTGACCCGTCTGAATGGAGAATTTACACTCAGAGTTTTCAAAGTACTGATGGAAAAAATGAAATAAAACGTTGCCCCTAACTTGTTTACTACCAATTGATATTTGCTTTGATAAATTAAATGCAGTGAATTAAGACACCCCCTCTTTTTTACATTTTCTAAGTCTCTGGGTGTTGCACGTTGGTGGGGACGATAATTTAGGTAAATCTGAGTAAATTATGTCCTCTTGTAAATTATGTCCTAGTTGTGATCAGGGTCCCTATCTGAGAGATCCTTTTGGCCAGTTGGCCTAGAGAGGATGGTAAAAGAAATTTCTTCAGAGGACACTAAAATTAAATATGTCCTTCTTAAATTTATATTTATGGTTGGGACATTTGCTTTTAAGCACCAGGTTGAATTGATCAGAAAAGAAATTGAGGCCTGACTTTCTTTCATGTAGATTGACTGTGCAGTAAGGACAGGACAAACATTGTTGAAGCCAGCACGCCAAGGAAAGAAACTCTCTTTCATTCACTGAATTCTAAAACAAGGAATACACTTAGTGAGATAATTTAATGAAGTCCCACATGTCATCCTGGCTTGTGGAGAGGCTAGTTTTAGGTATCCTAATTGTAACCCCAATGAATCATTTGATAGCACACTCCTATATTCTGAGTCACTCTGTCAAGAGCAAGGAAGACACCTGTACCACAGACTTTTCTCCTGGTTTACACAGATTGGGGAAGCTTGTGTCTTTTCTTACATACTCATTTTCTTAGCAGTTTACCCCCTCCTGACCTTAACTTAAAAGTAAGACAAGATGTGTAGATATGAGTTTAGTAAGTGTTTAGGGGTATACCATAGTTGAGTTTTATGATTGGGACTTTAAAGAAATTCCAGTGACCCAAGGGCTTTTAAGCCGGGAAAAGATGCACTTTCATAATTTTTAACTATCCAATTTCTTAGGATAGACATAGAAATTATTTTTGACAAAGAAAAGGAGAATGTGGGTCAGAAAACTAATGTCAGACATAACAAGCCCTAAGCAAACTAAATCCAGAGGAGGCATATCTGAAGGTAGATATTGGCAATAAAGCTATATATATATATATATATATATATATTTGGAAGAAAAGCTAAACTAAGAGGAAAAAAAAACTAGAGCAAGAATAACTCAGGGTGTGAAAAAATGAACTTGTTGGTATAAACACTTGCACAGCCCTCATTTAAAATGTTTAATCTAGGTGTTTAATGGATTTAGGTACATCCTCAAGAAAGAAGGCTATGAATTAATAAGATTATTTGTCCTGGAAATCATGGCACCTTGTCTTTAAAAGATGTTTCAAAAGAAAGGCTGATTCCAGGCTTCACATTCCTAAACAAGTGGGAAATAATTTCAATTACATCAAAAGAAAGTATGTAAAGCAGAAATCACACCATCATTTGTGGTTTGGCCTTACCTCAATATTGCATAACAGATGGCTGTGTGCAGACAGGCTTAAGATAACAGTTGTTTTAAAAAACTACTTGGCAATGCTCCCAAACACCTTTTCAAGTAAGTAATCAAAGGTCAGAAAACATACTCCTTTTAGATTGCAGATCTATTCCCAGGTCAAATAGATCTACCTCAATGGTGGATTAATTTACTCAGTTATTATACTTAGTCTTAGAATATTTATACTTTGATATTTAGCTTAACATAGGCCAGTGGTGGTACATATTTTAAGTTTTTTTTTTTTAGTTTAAACTTCAATAAAAGCTTCCAGCAAAATAAAAAATAATTCGGTAAGAAACACTCCAAAGAAGATGCATGATTCTATTTTAGCCTTAAAATTCAAAGCCTCCTTTAAGTATAAAGAAGCCCAAAATCTGAATTTACAATGAGCATTAAATAACATCTATTGCACATTCATAAGCTTCGAGATTTCGAATTTCTTATCCAGATCCATCAGCTGTCCCTTCTGATTACAGGAGTCTTGTTTACCTCTCCAATAGAATCACCACATTGTGGATGGACATTCCAGAAAGAACATTAACCTCTTCCCTTTTCTACTTCCCCTTCCCAGGAAAGTACAGAACATGTAGAAATAAGGGTATATAGTGGGGTTCCAAAGATGGAAAGGTGTATCATATCTTACATTAGAACTGACTGCGGAAAGAAGAACCAAGGAGGTCAATGAAAAGGCATGGATACCAGAAAAAGGCCAAGTCGGTTGGGAAAGATGACTTGCTTTTTACACAGAGACCATGGGGTAATGGAAGTAACAGTCACAGAGAGACCAGAATTCTACTACTGACTTTTAAATTTACTAACAGCAGTCCAACCAACCATGGGCCTCTGTTTCTTCATTCAGAGATGGAGGTTGGACTGTATTAGCTTTAAAGGAGCCATCTAGCCCTAAAATAACTTTGCTACATAGGCTACCATCAGAGATCTGGCCAGGGGCAACAACAACAACAAACCACCAGTCAGCTCCAGAGTCATAGGCTGGGAAACAGTACTCCTGTGACTAGCACTGTTTTTGTTTGTTTGGTGAGCCTTCAAATGGTTTCATTTCTACTTAATAGTTGTTCCTTTTCTAGTTTGTTCCAGATGAATTGGTAAAAACACAGTAAGAAGCGTAAGGCACAGCTGCAAAAGGGTTGATTGCAAATGGAGGTACAGTTTCTGCCTAAAACCAGACTGTGACTATGGAAAGCTCAGAAACCAGCAGGCAAAGAGCCTGAGGGCCCAAAGCAGGCCAGCAATACCCAAGTCCCAAGGGTCAGTATATTGGAGGAAAGTAAAGGAGTGAATCAGACTGCAGACCAAGTGGAAGAGGCAAAAAAAAAAAAAAAAAAAAAAAAAGACTACGTCGGAGGTTCTCATAAGTTCCCCAAAAGAAGGTAATGCCAATTAACCAGAGGTCTCCTCTAAACCTACTATTACATCAAAATGCAATGATGGGCCCTGCAGATGATGCACATTTGCAAAAGGTATGTAATGTGACCTTCCTAGAGTTTGAAAGAGGATAAGGGTCCAGACTAATGTTCTGACCCAAGGGTTAACCCCAGAACGTATGGTCTTGTTTGGTGGTTTAGACTGAGGACAGCCTTCAGGATCAGCCCTCAGGGAGACCCTTCCCCTAAGACAGAAGAATTAGGGAAGGCAGATGGGACTGTATCCGAGAAGTAATTTTCTGGAACAAAACAGTAGATCTGAGTCCAACGACATTGGCAAAGCAGACAAAAGCTTGGTGGTGAGGGACATGAGATGAAAAAAGTTCAGAGAGGGAAACAAGCACAAAAGTTGAGTACAAAGATAGCAAGCTAGTTCCTCCCGACAACCCGCAACCTAATGGAAATGTAAGAAAAGAAAGGCTTTGTGGCTCCAAAACAAATTAGTCATTTCTTTTCCAGCTTTTAATTGAGCACACAAAACTACCCGAACACTTCAGAACAAATCCACTGGGCTAGTTTTTACACCCAAACAATAACCATAACACACTTGGTGCGTATCATCTGAGAGTGATGATGCAAGCTCACTCCTGGAGCCACATCAGGAATGTAGCAATAAGAGACCGTCTTGTTTTCCAAAATCTGATCCCAAAATGTGGAGTAGGTTTTTTGGGAAAGCAGCATTGCTCTTGTATTGTACCCCATGAGGCCACTAGAGTGCTCCAGAGTCATGAATTCACATTCCAACTGGGGTTTCAAACTTGCACTGAAATTATTATAGCCAGATCTGGAATCTAATTGCCTTTGGTAGGTCTCCCATGAGCTGAAACAGCAGTCAGATGCTGAATAGAACACAGGAAAAAGAAACGAATGAGCCTTATCCAACATCCTGGGAGACTTTGCTGAAGTTATATAGCAACTATTTCAAACTTAAGAAAAGAGATCGAGTTAGATTGGGCACTGTGGATCGTGTGTGAAAATCTAACTATAAACCAGAATTTTCCTGCCTGTAATTAGATTTATACACTGCAAAGAAGTGAATTTTAACAGAGATTCCTAGTCCTAGGTTTTGGGGTTTTTTTTTTCCCCGTTGTGAAATACCATTTATATTTTCAATATTTGAACCAAATGAGGGTTAAAAGTCTACAAATATGAAAAACGGAAAATGTAGTAGCTGATGTACTTAAATGGAGATATGGTTTCTTCCCTATCTGCTTGTGTTGCTCAGGCCATAATTCCTTACCATGTATTCGGGGCTGATAAACCCTCCTTAATTCACTGGGAATGCTGTTAAGATGAAATTGAAAAAAATATATACATATATATGAAAGCCCCCTGTAAACTATAAAGTGGTAGTAAGTATTAGTTATCATCATCATTATTATTGCAATTAGAAACTTCTAGCTTAAAGCATGAGCATATGGCACCATAACTAGGTGGAAAGATAAACACAGTGGCAGAGGTAGGAGGTAGTGTTCTTGGTTTATTTGAAAATCCTACCTTTAATTCTAGCCTGTGGACAATTTTTTTTAATACATATATACCGAAATTTCAAAAAGTGGTTTAACAATTTTGAATTGTAAAAGCCCAGGGTTTAAGACACATTATAAACTTAGCATTTAAACATATTACTAAGCATCTAAATATTTCTGATATTTTGAAAAAAAAGAAAGATTGCAAGGTGCCTGTACACAGGGCAGTATAAAGAAAACACAGTGAACTTGAAGTCATCTACTTTAGAAGAAATCAGAATAGCTGAACAGTTATATAGCATCAGTTGACTCAATATTTCTATTAAAGACATCAGCTACAAACAATGCCTGTCTAACATTTGAGCAGGATTTTAATTTTAGACATGTTTAAATTATTCTATATTATTGCTATATTTTCTGTCATATATTTATACCCTCTCCAAGGTGAAGTTTCAATAAGCAGTGATATAGTCATAGACGAGAGAGAGGATTAAAGGCCTAGAAAACTCACAAAGCACATAGTCACTACACAAACAAGTAAATGTTGGAGATAGTAAGAAAATGAAAAACCAAAAATGGTTACTTTAAATTACTAGTAATTTCTGATGCTCAAATTGATTCCTGTTTTTCCTGGCCACATAAAATGAGTTTGTACTCTACACTAAACAATGGACATGCATTTTTCAGTGCATATTCTCCAAAAGTTGTTTCATATACATTAATAATAAATATAATTAAATATCACCAATTATAACTATATTTCTGCTAAAGCCTGGGACTGCCTGTAAGACTCAAAAGTGATTTACTTTTCTGCCCCCAAAAGCAGAAAATTAGGGCTACAGAATATAGTACTTCTAGTAACACAATACTTACTCAAGATATCAGAGCAATAAAATCATTATCAAGTGTTAGAGGGGAAACAGAATTTACAGTCTGTGTACTACTACATCTCATCATTCACCCAATCTCTAAACACACAAATTATATATGTACTTAATACCAATGTGGAGAGTAATCCTAGTGAGGTTAAACAATTTGTCATACTGAAAAATGCTGATTAGTGGCAGGTCTGAGACTAGAACCCAGATTTCCTAACTCCCAGGTAAGTGCTCTTTCTACCACACTGCACTTGCTCTGGTACCTCTGTAGGGTTTTCAGTGTTTAAAAAAACAGAACAAAGTACTTAGAACAGTATCATTTTAAGTAAAGAGTAAACATTTTAAGTAAAGAGTAAAGTGGTCCTAAATGTCCTTCAAACTCTTCTGCTAGTTCATCAGTGCCTTACATTAAAAAAACTATATGGAATATATTTTTAAAATATACAAGAGCTAATGTATCAATTTGAGGATGTTAGGATTTAATGCTGTGAACAGCAGAATTCATATTTTGTTTTGCCAGCACTGAAGCAGAATATTCCATAGAGGCTGTGAATGTGAATCAACAAGTGAGATAATAGATGTAGTGCTGGCGTTTTCTGTAAAAGTAAAATGACACGGAAGCTGATGTGGCTCATGTAAATGATGCCTACTAAATCAAAAATACTTATGTTTAACATGAACTCAAACTTGACCATTTTTGCTAGCTATCTTAAAAACATGAATATTTCTGATAAGTGACTTACGTCAATTGTGCATTTTTTTTCTCATTTTCAGTAAAGGAATGATAGCATATTTGAGAGTCAAAAGATGTGGACTAGGTCATGAAGTTCCCATTTCTGGATATAAGTGAATCAAAGGAGTTGAAACAAATCATCTCTAAAATCCCTTCTAGTTTTCAAATGAAGTGACTCCTAATTAAGCCCTACAAAAATGTCAGCTCTTTTAAAATATCTGCAATGAAAAAAAGAGAATCAACAGGAAGAAGGGAGAGGTGGCCTCTTAACCATTGAAGAAATTAGGCTTCACCTAAGGGCTCAATGCTTAACAGTAATAATATAAAGTCACAAATAAATATGGCCGTGAGAAATTTCAAAATCAAATCTGCACCTAGGACCTATAACATGACTAGTTAATATTGGATTTTTCTTGGGCTACCCATAAGCCTCAGGGTGTTCTATTCTTTTTTGTTGTTGTTGCCCAGGCTGGAGTGCAGTGGTACGATCTTGGCTCACTGAAACTTCCGCCTCCCGGGTTCAAGCAACTCTCCTGCCTCAGCCTCCTGAGTAGCTGGGATTACAGGCATGCGCTATCACAGCCAACTAATTTTTGTATTTTTAGTACAGACGGGGTTTCACCATGTTGGTTAGGCTAGTCTCGAACTCCTGACCTCATGATCTGCCCGCCTTGGCCTCCCGAGGTACTAGGATTACAGGCGTGAGCCACTGTGCCTTGCTGGGGTGTTTATTTTAATGGGCTAGGAAAACACCCAGGTCAGAAGTTACTCCTGCAGGCCTGCCCATGCCCAGCCAACCAGGTTGTTATTCCAGCTCCCACTGGGCATAAGCATCTGCCTGCAACATGAACTGCAATGCTGAATACATTTAGCTATGAAAAACTCCAATCTCTGATTAATGCGATTCAAAGGTTACAAATCGCCCTTTAACAGATTAAACACCACATGACACATTGCCTGACCCTTGGCAGGAGTCCCCCAAATAGCAGCTTTGATGTGAAAATTAAAAATAACCTAATTATGAACACATAAGTCTAGTGCTGTTGTTTAAACCTATATAAATTATACCTTTTAAAAACCTATACAACTTATGTCATTTCCAGCTCCGATTGTCTCAAATTAAATAACATTGCTTGTCTTACCTTCTGTAGGGTGAATGGCATCCAAGAAGAGTTGCTTGTTTGACCATTTATCCCCACTTCCTAAAAACAATGACAGAAAAGGAAAGAAAAGTGAAACTCTACTCTTAGTAGATTCCCCATACTACAAAAACAAGATGATATACAAACTAACTTTTGAAACATCACACAAATAAAGCTGAATTTTATGTCAATTACTTAATTCTTAAAATGGTATTTGCCAACTAAAATAATGAGGCTGTACAGAAAATGGATTAAAAATAAAATTTTTGTCTTTTATGAAATATAGTGTTGGATTATTTCTGTAACTTTAATCAAAGTAATCTGAAGATCAGTAAAACGGAATGAAAAAAGCTGATGTTTTCACCTAATGAATAATGTTTCTTTACTGTAAGCAGAAGAAAAAATAATATCAATATACAAAACAAAACTAAGAAGCTGAAGTGGAAGTGAAAAGAAGGCCCAAAGTAAGTAAAAGGTTACATACAGGAACATACAGGCACACATGTCTACACACAGGAGACAGCTGCGTTTAAAGCCTCATTCAAGAAACACGGAATGCTTCACATCTGGCCATGCAAGTAGGATGCAAATGGGCACCGGATGAGTTGGTTTATGGTAGTCACGACACTAACATGCAGGGAGATGCTAAAGAAAACCCGACCTACAGAATACTTGGCTGCACTGAGCCAGATGGGAAGATTTATCTTTTATGTGAAATAAGAATAGGAGTCCTGCACTATGGGAAGAAAGAGATCTTAAGATGAGCCCTGAAGAGGTTTAAAGGCCCATCAAGATCATACCAATGAGACAGACGTTCCGAGTAAAGAGGGGACAGAGTACAATCAGTCTCTACTGCCCTTTCAAGTAACAGGCATGTGACTGAAAGAGGTCGGAACAAGAGCCTGGCAAACGAGGGGGGGTGGAAGAAGAGACACAGGTTACAACTTAAGAGTGGAGAAAAAGGTCCGCAAGAATCCCCAAGTGTCAGAGGAAGTACAGAAACGGGGGCACTTTCACATGAACACGAAACTGTAAGATTTCATGAAGTAGGAAAATGTGGTCATGGTATGAAGGGCTGCCAAACATGTGAAAACCAAGAATAGTCAAAGAAAATAAATGGATAAGTGGTCAAGAAGACTGAATTGCAAAACGCACCAAATACAGATGAGAAGAGGCAATTTTAGGATTCATATGGGGCTCTGAAAATAGAGACAAATATGGATTTGAACAGCAATCCAAGTGAAGGAGATTTGCATTAGCTGCAGAGTCCGGAAAGAATGAGAACACCCGCGTCAGGAGCTGATGGCACTGAAGCAAGCAGAGGGGAGGACAAGGCAAAGGCAGTGCATGGGAGCATTACTCAAAGATGAATCACAATGGAGGTGACCAAGAACCCTTCATGGAGGATGGAGGGCACCAATACCTTTTTCCGGAACATTGGGCTTCTCCTTTTTGTGCTTATATTTGCTGACAATTTTGTGGAATAAGTTCTTTTTCTGAGACTGGAAAGGACCTACAGACAATATTAATATAAATATATTTTAAATTCACAATGTTTCATAAAAAATATTGTGTATTTCTCAACAATTCCACCCTCCTCCCTCCTGTGGAATAAGCAAATTGAATCTCAATAAATGTCATCTTGCATCTTCACCTACTTAACTGGTGCTTAGCCCCCTTTTTAGGCTTATTTAAACCCAGTGAGATTTTCCTTAGAAATGTATTGGGCAAAGCCTCCATTAGGGCTGGGACTCCCTAAGCAGAAACTGCAGATACAGTGAGTAGAAACAAACTACAACCAATAACAGCAAAGTGGCTAGAGTCTGTAATAGAGAAAAGATTTTACTTTAGACTCCTAAATACCATGAAGGAAAGGATGGAATATGTGTTTTATCTCTCCAATGAAACTGCTTTTCACAACAAGGATAGCACTTTCAGGACAGCAGTTGACCCGACAGCATTAGATAGCTTTCTGGCCTTTTATGAGAATAATCTAAGAAGAAAAAATGACTTAAAAAGAGAAAATATCTGCCAAAAAACTTTATTCTGGTTGGAAGGGGGAGATGTTTCAGATTCTTAGTTTTCTCAGATAAAGAAACAAAATTGAGATTTTTTTTTTTTCAGTGAACAATCAGAAATACCAGCAACAGCACTGACCTCCCCAAAGCCCCGGTGGCATCTCTCCACCTACCAACAGCTGCAACTACATGCTCTGCCTTCTGGCCACAGGTGAACCATTTGATGCTCCCATCTGGTCAGTTCCTCCACCCATGGCATAGCCCCACCCTCCTTGTCCAGCTCAACACCATCATTTCTCCCTCTCTAATGGGCCATTCCATCACTATACAAACAAATTCTTTTAACTTAGAAAAGAAAAAGGTGGCTCCTAACCTAACTTCCCTCACATCAGTTACTGCCTTAGTTCTTCATTCCTTCTGTAGCAAAAATTCCACAGAAGGGTTGCCTAGGCTGTCTCCAGTTTCTCTCTTTCCATTCTGTCTTTATTTATTTATTTATGTATTTATTGAGACAGGGTCTCACTCTGTCACCAGGCTGGAGTGCAGTGGGATGATCTCGGCTCACTGCAACCTCCACCTCCTGGGCTCAAGCAATCCTCCCACCTCAGCCTCCTGAGTAACTAGGACTACAGGTGGGGATCACCATGCCTGGCTAATTTTTTGTATTTTTTTTTTTGTAAAGTTGGGGTTTCACCATGTTGCCCAGGCTGGGCTCAAGCAATCCGCCCACCTTGGCCTCCCAAAATGCTGGGATTACAGGTGTGAGCCACTGTGCCCAGCCTCATTCTGTCTTAAACTCACTACAACTAGGTTTCTGCCCTGCCACTCATGGAAAACTGCTCTTCAAGGGGTCATCCAGTACCCCCATGCTGTGAAGGCCAATTGTGGGTCCTTATTGCACCAGGCTGTTCCTGTAGCTTCTGACCACTAGAGCCACACCCTCTGCCTTGAATGCCTCCTTCATTGGGCTTCTAGGATACCACCTTCTCTTCTTTTCTCTTCTCCATCACTGATATTTCCCTCTCTCTCCTTTGCTTATTATTTTCCCTGACCTCTTAATTTTGGAAAGCTCTGGGCTTGGCCCTTGTCCTTGTCTCTATTCTCACTCATCTGGTGATTACCTCTACTGTCAGGGCTTTAAAATAAAATGAAATAAAATAAAATAAAATAAATACCAGCTATAGGTTGAAGACTCAAAAATGCATCACCCCAGCCAGACCTCTTATATTGGGTGTATATGAAAAGTCAGCAATCTTATACTATCTTACGAGGACTTAAGAGATCCAGAGCTCCATTACCTCCATAACCTCATATCCTGCCACTCCTTTCCTTTGAGTCTCTCTAGCTGCATGGGCCTCCTGGCAGTCCTCTGCACATGTAGTCTCAGTGTTCCTGACTTTAGGATCTCTGAACCAGCCATTACCTTGCCTAGAAAATGTTCTTCTCCAAGATGGCCTAGAAAATGTTCTTCTCCAAGATGTCCGCACGGCTAACTTCCTCACCTCCTTCAAGGCTTTACTTAACTATCTTCAGACCACTCTATATAAAACTGCAAGCCAACCCCATGCCCATCACTTGATCTCCCGTTCCCTCACAAACCTATTGTTTTAACTGATTTTTAAAAACAGCTTTGTTGAAATATAATTAACATACCATACAATTCACCCATTTAAAGTATAAAACTTGTGTTTATATTCAGATATTTGCAACCGGCACCAATTTTTGAACATTTCATCACCTCAAAAATAAATTCCAAACCTTTTTAATACTACTACTCCTATACCTGTATTCCCCCTCTCCCTAAGCAACCTCTAATCTCCTTTCTGTCTCTATAGGTTTGCCTATTCTGGAAATTTCATATAAATAGTATCATATAATGTGATTTTTGACTTAGCATAATGTTTTCAAGGCTCCTCCATGCTACGGCATGTATCAGGGCTGAATAATATTCCATTTAATGGATTGTTTATTCATTCAACAGTTGGTGGGCCAGGTGCAGTGGCTCACATCTGTAATCTCAGCACTTTGGGGGGCCAAAGCGGGTAGATCACGACATCAAGAGATCAAGACCATCCTGGCCAGAAGAAAGGAAATAATAAAGCTTAGGCCAATTTCTCTACATCTTTGTCAACATTTGTTATTATCTGTCTTTTTTATTATGGCCATCCTAAGGATGTGAAATGGTATTATTCCCATTGTGGTTTTGATATGCATTTCCCTGATGACTGATGATATTAACTGGATTTTCTTGTACTTATCGGCCACGTATTTGTTATATATCTTATTCGGAGAAGTATCTATTCAGATCACTTGCCCGTTTTTATGAGCTGTCTTTTACTGCCAAGTTGTAAACATTCCTTATACAGTCTAGATAAAAGTTTTTTTATCAGATATGTGATTTGCAAATATTTTCTCCCATTCTGTGGGATGTCTTTTCACTTTCTTGGCAGTGTTCTTTGAAGCGCAGAAGATTTAAATTTTGATATGGTCCAATTTATCTATTTTGTCTTTTGTTGCTTGGGCTTTTGGTATCATATTTAAGGATTCACTGCCAAATCTGAGGTTATAAAGATTTGCCCATTTGCTTTGAAAGTTTTATTGTTTTAGCTTTAACATTTAAGTTTTTGATCTATTCTAAGTTAAATTTTGTACATTGTATGAGGTAAGTGTCCAACTTCATTTGAATGTAGATACTCAGTTGATCCAGAATCATTTTTTGGAAAGACTCTACTGTTCTCATTGGATATTCTTGGCACCCTTGTTGAAAATTAGTTGACCAAAAATGTCAGGTTTATGACAGGTTCTCTACCAATTCTATTCCACTGATTTATATGTCTGTCTTTATTCTAGTACAACACTCTCTTGATTACCATTGTTTTGTAATTAGTTTTAAAATCAACTACTATTTTCTTCTAAGATTGTTTTGTTTTTTCTGAATATCTTGCAATTCTACATTAATTTTAGACTCATTTGTCAATTTCTACAAAGAAGTCAGCTGGGATTCTAAGAGGGGTTGGGTTGAATCTGTAGATCAATTTGGGAGAGTGTTTCCATCTTAACAATAAGAAGTCCTCCAATCCATGAACATGGGATGTTTTTCTATTAATTTCTATCATATTTGTTTCAGCAATGATTTGTTTTCATTGTACTGTACTTCTTTTGTTAAACTTATTTCTAAGTACTTTACTCTTTTTGATGCTATTGTAAATGGAATTGTGTTCCTAATCTCATTTTTAGATTGTTCATTGTTTAAGTGTATCAAAATATAATTAAGTTTTATCTAATGACCTTATAACCTGCAGCTCTACTAAACTCATTTATTAGCTGTAATAGTTTTTTGGTGGATTCCTTAGGATTTTCTATATACAAGGTCATGTTATCTGAGAATAAATATAATTTTACCTCTTCCTTTCTAATCTAGACACCTTTTGTTTCTGTTTCTTACCTAATTGCCCTGGCTAGAACCTCTAGTCCAATGTTGAATAAGTGGTGAGAGTGGATATTCTTGTATTGCCCCTTTGCCTAGGGGGAAAGCATCCAGTATTTTACCATTAAGTATCATGTTAGCTGTGTATTTTTTGTAGATGCCTTTTATCAGGCTGAGGAATTTCCCTTTTAACTCTAGTTTGTTGAGTAATTTTTTTTTTAAAGGGCATTGACTTTTATCAAATGCTTTTCCTAGATCTATTGGGATGATCAAGTGGTTTTTGTTTTGTATTCTATTAGTAGGGTATGTTACACTAATTGGTTTTTGAATATTAAAGCAAACTTGCAGTCATGAGGTAAAATCCCATTTAGTCATGATGTATAATTCTCATATGTTGCTGAATTTGGTATGCCAGTGTTTTGTTGAGGATTTCTGTGTTCACATTTGTAAGAGATATTGATCTGCAGTTTTCATTTCTTGTGATGTCTTTGTCTTGAGAATGTCTTGAATGTCTTTGACATTAAAGTAATACAGGTCTCACAGAATGAATTGGGAAGTGTTTACTTTTCTTGTAATTTCTGGATTCATTTGTGAAAAATTGGTGTAAATTCTTTTTTAAATGTTTGGTAGAATACAGTGGTGATGCCATCTGGGCCTGGGCTTTTTTTTTTTTTTCCCCCAGATACTTTAAAAATTACTAGTTCAATGTCTTTATTAGTTATGCATCTATCAAGATTATCTATTTCTTAAGCCAGTTTCAGTAGTTTGTGTCTTTTTAGGAATTGTTCATTTCATACATGTTATCTCATCTATTGGCTTTAGTTGTTTATAGTATTGTTTTATAATCCTTTTCATTTCTGTAGCCAGTAGTAATGTCTTCTATTTCATCTCTGATTCTAATAATTTGAGTCTTCTCTTTTTCTTCTTGGTCAATCTAGCTAAAATTTCTCAATTTTGTTATTTTCAAAGGACTAGTTTTTGGTTTCATTGATTTTTCTCTACTGTTTTAGTATTATTTAATTAATTTCATTTCATCAACTTCTTCTCTAATCTTTATTATTTCCTTTCTTCTGCTTCCTTTGAGTTTGGTTTACTCTTCTTTTTTGAGTGTCTTACAGTAGAAGGCTAGGCTACTTATTTGAGATTTCTTTCTTAATATAGGCATTTAGAGCTATAATTCTCCCCTTCTCCCTCTAAGTTTGCTTTAGATGCATCTCTTAAATTCTCTTATACTGTGTCTTCATTTTTATTCATTTCAAAGTACTTTCTGATTTCTCTTTGATTTCTTTTTTGATGTGACAGTTATGTAGAAGTGTATTTAATTTCTATATATTCGTGAGTTTCTCCAATTTTTTTCTACTACTGATTTTTAAATTTCATTGTACTATGGTCAGAGAACACACTCTGTATTATTTCAATCCTTTTATATTTATTGGTTGGTTTTATGGATTAACATATGGTCTACTGTGGAGATTGTTCCATGTATGCTTGTGAAGAATATACATTCTGCCATTACTGAGTGGAGAGTTCTATATGTTTGTTAGTTCTAGTTGGTTTGTAGTGTTGGTTCCAGCCTTTTCTTGTTGATCTTTTGCCTAGTTGCTCTATCCACCAATTCTTTTTCCACTGTACGTCTCACCTTCAAACAAATTATATATTTTGCTTATTGCTTAGGCTTATTTATTGTCTGGTTCCCCCATTATAATGTAATCTTGATGGCAGTAGGGTTGTTTTCATTCACAGATATAATCTAAATGCCTACAATGGTGCTTAGCACATGACAGGTTCTCAATATTTATTCCATGAACAAATAAAGCTCTTAATGCACTGCTTATCACAAAGTAAGAGCTCAAGAAATTACAGCTGTTGCTGTTATTACTGATACCATAAATCTGTGCAAGTGTTTTTTGATGACTACACTAAGCAATCCTTCTAAATAACCAATAGCAAATGCTTCTAAATTGACTAGCGGTGGTTTGAAATGAAACTAGAAATGCTTCCTTGTTTGCCTCTTTGGGAAAAAGTGAGCAACAAGAGAAAAGAAAATAAATTTAACAAGTACAAAGAAAATATATCACATGTACATACTACACTAATATTACAGGTATCTAAAATCTATTTGCAATCACTGCCTCATGTGTTTTATACAACCCAAGAAACTAGGCTGGTGGACCTGAATGATACATAGGCAATCATGGAAAACCAACGTAGGAGAAAGGAGAAAAATTACTACTCAGGATTATAAAGATCCTAGTGATTTACCTGTAGGAAAATAACTTAATAATAGGGTATTGGCTCATAGGAAGAATGATATAAAGAAGTAGTTCACAGAAGCAAAATGATTTGACGTATGCAGTGTGTTAGGAAAGAAGAAAAGAAATACATATTTTTGGACCCAATCATAATCAGAGAAATCTAAAAAGTAATTTAAAGACTAAGCTAAAGATAGAGCTTGTCAATTTTAACATGAAAAAATAACAATCATAGTAGTTTTGTACACAGAAGAGCTTATATAAACTTACATTTTTAAAATTCCTTTCTTCTGGCCACCCCCCAAATTATAGATATAAAACTACTCTAAGTAAATGACAACTTCAGATGAAAAAAGAAAGTGACAAACTCGAAAACAAATAGATAAGATTTAATTGTAGTCACTGAGAAGCAGCCATTTTAGAGTCAAGAAGTGAAAAATTTGATTTCTGCCAATCAGCATAGTGTATATGTTGGGTATTTTGTCTACAGAAAATAAAGTCAAAATCTGTAATAAATAGCAAATATAAGGAAATTTACTATTACATCTTTTCCTTAGTCAATTATTATATTAATGTAGAAGTATCCATGGAGGAGGAAGAATGGTAGAAAGTAAAATGCAGAAGGGCTTTTAGAAGGAATCATTCAGAAAACAAATATTCACAACTGTTCTTCACTCTACTATGATATCTCAAGCTTCCGTCCCATCTCTTTCCCTACCAAATTTCTTGAGGGAATATCTGCATCAGCTTCAGCTTCCTTATGAAAAAAAAATCACTCATTGCTGGTATGCAAACTGGCTTAGGTCTCCACTTAAGTTTTTGGGCAGATGACCCGTATTCTGAAGGTATCAATCTCCTTTGCACCTCAACTTCACAGCTGGGCAGAAAACAAAAGGGCCAAATGACAAGCCGAGAGATTAGGAGGGGTGCCAGAAGGACACTGACAATAACCTTTCCAGAACATTCTTGTTCAAGGTTTGCTGAAAAATGAATGTTTTGGGGGTGAGAAGTTGCAGTGACACAGGAGCCACTTCAGCATGAGCCTAGCACGATACTTTCTCAAGGTCAGTGAGTAAGGTGAATTAAGTGAACCTGCTCTTTACACCTGTTGTGAGAAACAAATGTCAGGCGTAACTCTGGTGGTGGTGGCTTTTGCCCAGGTTCTATAGTTTCATGTTTTTAAACTATATATATGTGTATATATATAAAGAGCAAGGGTTTTCTTCTAAGACTAGGCTACCATTTCTGTATTGGACTTGTAAGTAATGAGTACCCAATGAAAAAATATATTCCTATGCAATAATTTATAGCAATGTGCTCCCACCTGCAGGGCATGTGCATTTACTGACTTGAATAAGTTCTCTGAGTCAATCAGTCACAATCAAGTTAAGATTCATTCAGAGGGAGGAGCCACTTCATTGGGCTGGACATGCATGCATTGTTAAGGAACTCAAAATTGTATCAGGTATACGTTTTATACCTGCAAAGGTGCTGCCACCATATTCCTGTAGAAATCTGGTGGCAGCGGAGACTTTCAAACAGTTATGGAGAAAGATACAGAACTCTGCCCAATCTGGAAGCTAAAATTTCCTAATAGGAGATCTATCATCACATCTCGGCTCTGTAAGACTGAAAGTACTATTGGCTTGGCCCCACCTCAAACAGAGGATTCTGTCTTTTCAATCTTGTAAACCTGCTTCTTTTATTCCCACTGTGATTTTTTGAAAGACTCAATGCCTTAACCATTTTTGATTTTAGTCTTAAAATGTAAGTGTGGATTGAAAAAATATAAGAAGGATCAACAGTATGTTTGATAATAGGCCAAGGAACTATGTAAAGATAGAAGGAATAAGGTGAAGAAGTGAGTCTAATAAGTCAAGATGAGGCATAATTTCAACACAATTTTTTTTCTCCATGATCCTACTTCCACTGAAAAATTACTATTCTACAGAGAACTGACTTCTAATACTTTCGTAAACAATGCTTCATACATTATCAGTACATGTAAAAACATGTGTAAAACAAATCTCTTAGGAAGTTACAATTAAATTTAGACATATAATTTAAAGCTTTCCTTTAAAAATATTTCAAAATAACAGAGAGATGACTCAGAAAACATTAAGTTTGGGCTGATTCAGCTGAATTGCATTGTGAGTTAGATTAGAATTTACTGGATAATTCATTTTTAGAAGGAAAGGGAAATCCTATTCCTGTCATCATGCTCTGTTCTATAACATAGCCCAAGTTGGAGGAAAGTGGCCTTTAAAGTTATTTTCATCCCTTTTCATTGTCAAGTTTTTGACAAGACCTATGACACAGACATAAGAGGAAGGGCAGAGATAGTAGGATGACCATGGGAAAGACAGGAAGAGACTCCTTAGAAATACAGATACGAATATGGAGACTACTGGGAAAACAGAGGAATAAATCCAAGCAGGTACTATGACTTTGAGATATACAACTATATAAATGCATACATACAAATTTATTTTAGAAATTACACTTTAGAAAAATTCTATACATTTTATGTAAGCTGAAGTACCTAAAAAGGCACCTAGTATAAGTCATGAAGGAAAATATAATGAATATTGAATGATGACAAATGAAAAAATAAAATATAGACAAATGGCAAATTATCAGAGGAAAAATTAGGTTTCTGATGGACATATACTCTTTTATTAATGAACTAATGATCTCATACACAATGTTTGCTCTGAATGATTCATTATGCAAAGGTGGAAAGGGTCTAGAGTCTAAGAAAATAATCTCCTCTGTCCCCTAAAGATCAGGCAATTACAGCACAGCTGGTATGATAATTTCATTAATAATAACTTGTAGTCTAGTATATTGGTGCTGCTAATGCCAAATTACAATCAGTCACAAATACTATTTCTTTAGTTTGCTGAATAGATAATATATTATTTAATTTCTGCTTATTTTAATTGCATTTTGCTTCACAAATCTGAAGGCAGAACAAAATCTCATCTTGGAAGACTTCCCACATATGTAATTACTGATATACTATATAAGAACCAGTGACTTTGTGGCTTGAGAGGTATAATGGAAGAGTTAAGATGATATTGTATGAAGTATAATCCAAAGCTCCAAAAAGCTATTTCACATCAAAAGAAATACTGTTAATCTCAGCTGGGAGAGAAAAATCGTACAGACAACTAAGACCCAAGAGAAGGTCTCATGAAAATAGATCCTAACTTCAGGGTTTTATAGCTTTACAAAAATAAATCTATTGTTACATTCCCTGAGACATAATTCAGCCAACTTCAAAGCTCTAACGTGAATGTTTTGGGAGTGGAAGAAGGAATAATGTCCTGCACATCTATCAATTAAGTTCCATTTTATTGGCTTGTCAGGTATTTATCAGCAACTTTAAATCCAAGAATTATGGGAGCTCAAGATACTTGGTATCTTTGGGCTCATGGACTACTTTTCCTATTCCTAAATATCTCCAGGGCACAGAGACTATCATTTCATTTGGCAATCCATTATGGTGCTCAGCTCCCTACCTGTCAACAAGCCTACTTTATTTCTATCTTGGAAGATCTTGATACGACCCTATTTTATTTTCTCAGACGAGCAAACTTGGCGATGCAACAACATTTCTTTTTTAGTTCTTTATTCACTAGACTTGTTTTTATTAACCACAGAGGAAAACTGAGCTAATTCTAAAATGACGTTTCTATACCTCCCTGGCTTTAATCATGAAGGGGAAATTTTCTTCAACCTTTCAGTTCTGTCTTGAGATACAGATCTCAAATTGACCCTGTTTGGTTGTGTCAATTCCAGTGTGCAAAGGGTTTTTAGGCTTTGAAGGAGAAAGGTTCAGGTTTCTCCAGAGAATAAACCATAATTTTCCCTCATCTATATATCTTAAATATTCCCTAAAATGCATGAAATTATATCTCTTTGTTAATATTTATATCTGATCGATTAATTGGTCTATTTAAAATACAAAAGAGTGGAATTAATCTGATTTGATTAAATTATCCAATTTGATGAAGCAGGCAATAGGCAGCAACTTTTACAGGATAATTAAAATAACTCTTCCAGCAAATCCTGCTAGAGTCTGATCTTGAAAGCAACTACAGCCCAGCCACCCAAGTTCTTCATCTCTCTATTCCATGTCCTTATAGGAGAGCCAACTGAATGAAGTATTTCATATATGTATGGAAAACTAGAGGTACATTTTCCCTATCAATCTTTAGACCTTAAGAAAAATCAGAAGGTAAGTTTCTCAATGAAAGCAATATTGCCATTTTGGGTAGTACAGTCCTTCACTGTGCTTGAAGGGCAAGATGTTTAGTACTCCAGTGCCTGTCCCACAAATGTCAACAGTGGTCTCAGGTGATGAGAGCACTGAAAATGCCCCCACCCTCTTACAATCCCCTTTAGGACTGCAGCATTGTCACTGATGAATGCTGAGATCCATCCAAGTCATGCTGATAACTTTAAAAAAGCTTCCCTGATATAGGCAGTAGAGAAGCTGATTACTTGAAAATGAATATACTAAACAAAGCATTTTTTAAATTTAACAAAACCAATGTATATGTGTGTGTGTGTGTGTATATATATATATATATATATATATATGTTGCTGGAGGATTTCAGGTAGTTTTATTTTCCTTTGGTCTATAATGCCAGTAAAGAGTAGTTAGCATCTGCTTATCAGGTGAAAAGAATGATTTACAGTCCCCGAGTTCAACCTGTTGCGGACACAGGGAACAGAAGAACTGGACTCAACCTGCAGTTTCTGTTCAAGAAAAGGTTAACATTCCAAATTAGAATTCTGGAGAGCAGGAGGTTGAAGACCATGTGTAACATCTTTGCAAAAGCTTAGCTACACCATCACGGGCAAATATACAGACTGAGATGCCAATGGACAGAGGCTACAGAAAATAAGGAAGAAAAAAAGGGACAAAGATAATCTTGGAAAGCAACCTAAGATTCTAACTCCCTACTGCCTCAATTCCAAATCCAATGATATGTCTAAAGGGAGCTAAAAGCTTGGCTGAAGGGTCACTTGAGATTCTGACCACATGGCAGGAAGGTACAGGTCACACCTAACCTTTGCTGGTTTTAGTCGGTTCTGAGGACACATTTCCAGTCTTCTTCTTTTTTCTTGGGACAGGTACACATTTCCGGTCAAATGTAACAGGACTATATTGAGGGAGGCTGTTGAATTTTTTTTCAAATTCTTCATCCAGCTTTGCGGAGCTATTAAAAGGGGAGAGGGGAATCAATCAGCACATGACCAAATATGACACAGAAAGTGACATGAAATATATTTTAGGATATTCTATTTGAAAACAGGGTCTCTGGGAATTAGGTAAGTAAATTCTGTGCAAGGAAAAAAACACCTTTTCTGAAATGCTTGAGATTTACCAACACAGTTTTCTTAGTAAACTCGTATGACAGGTTATGTTATTACCTTAGAAAAGTAGAAACATCATTTATAATATTAGAATATTTCTGAAGTGGGGAATTTGGCATTTTCTCCACTGGCATGGGAGTTTTTCATAAAGTTCAGTACAAAGCATACTCTATTCATATAATTCTCATTTTACAGACTCATATACATGTATATATGGCAAGCTTATTAAATTACCATATGATATATTGGTATCAATATCAATCTTATTAAATTAATAAGCTTATTATTAATAATCAAGCTTATTAAATTACCATATGATATATTGGTAGTTTTGTAAAATTAGTTTCTTTAAAAAAATGTACTGACTACTGTTTGATTAAAACATACACAAACAAAAAGCATTAATACTAGGAAAACATTCTGGAGAGTGGACTAGAATGAAGACAAAATATTCAATGAGCAAAGTAAAGCCAGTTTTCAATGAATGCAATGGCACAGAGGCAACATGCTTTAACTTAAATCATCAATGACTTCAGAAATGCCACCCGTAAAGTTGGGCAATCTCTGGGCTGGTGCTGACTGTCTCTAGGGTCCCACAGCAATGGCAACATGCCTGCTGGATCCTAGGCTGGCTTCTGGCTTTCATTAGGTGAGACTTATTAAACTAACATGCAACCTAGACAGATGGAAGAGGCTGTAGGACAACTGCTGTGCCTGGTAGATGGAAAATGGAAGAAGGTGTATTGGGAAGAGGAGAGCAATTTTAGTACCAGCTTATAAGCAGTAAATGTGTTAGGCTGCTAGCTAAGGGGTGTCCTAAAAATGTTTTTAACTACAACTGTTTTGGAGGAATATACAAGAGTTGAGAAGCAGAGATAAGAGGGTCAGATGACCAACTGAATGGTCAACAGGAAATGGCAATTATGGAAGCACCCCTTTACTGGAGGGGGGATATACTCCAAGTCCCCCAGTAGATGCCTGAAACCGCTGATGGTACTGAACCTTACATATGCTACGTTTGTTCCTATACATGCATATTGTACAGTGAAATATGATAGACAAAGGTATGATTTATGCAGTGGGTGGAATGAAGTGGGATGGCACGAGATTTCATCATGCTACTCATTGTGGTGCATAATTTAAAACTTATGAGTTGTTTATTTCTGCAATTTTCTATTTAGTATTTTCAGACCCAAAACTGCAGAAAGCAAAAATATGGCTAAGGGGGAACTACTGTACTAAGTTCTGTCAAAGCAATAAAGGGTAACGGGTGGAGGTGATATTTTCCCCTTAATAACATCACCATTTCTCATTTAGTTAAAAAATGTTTATTCTGATGGAAAATCAGATACAATTGGATACTAATTAAATACTATCAGAAAGCTGTCTATAAGTTGTGAATTTTTCAAATACTCTGAATACCCAAAAGAAAACTGAAAATGTGAGACGTAACTCATAAGGTCTCTTGAGACTTTTCTTAAAAAGAGAACAATAATAATCATTTATGTTTTTCTTAGAGAAGTCTATAAAATTAGATCTGTCAATACTGAGAGAATTTTTCTTGGCTACAGTTAACAGGTAGCACATTTTCTGAGATAAAAAAAGGTTTAAAATGCTCATCTACAAATCTCAGAGCAGACTGACAGGAAATGGCATTTCTCCCTGCTTAAGTATTATACTGGCGTGTTCTAAACAAGGCAAACCCAAATACTCGAATCCTGACAGGCCAATATTTAAAGGGAGAAAGGAGGAAAAGGCACTGAAGTTTACTGTTAATTTACAGCTATAAAAAAGCATCTCCCAGTTATACACATGTGCCTTCCTCAGAAATGATTAAAAAAACAAACACATACAATCCACATACCAATCTCTTTTCAGGAACAGATTTTCAAGATTGTTTCACTTATCTTGTTCCTCAAAGAAAATTGATGAAAATCTCTCTTACAGCTTCAGCAGTTTCTAATAGAAGCATCAGAGAAATGCTTCTGTTGGGGAGCCTCAATGCTTGCTTTATTCCCCTAGGACCTCACACTGCCTACATAACACCTGCTCCTCTCTCAGTGAGCAGACCCACAAGGCAGTGGCAGTAATTCCAGACTACAGAGAGCACTGGTCTAGATGCTTGCAGGTCATTTTAAAATGATATTCTGCATTTACACTATGATTTGACACTGAAATACGAGGATTTTCATGTCATTACTTAAGCAAAATGTAAGCAAAACTAATTTGAAGTACTTTGGATTTTTAAAAATATTAGAAATGAAATACATAAAATTATAAGCAAAATTAATTTGAAGTACTTTGGATTTTTAAAAATATTAGAAATGAAATACATAAAATTATAAATATATCATTTCAATAAAAATAATCTTAAAGAGCCAGCACTATGGGAAATAATTTCTACCTCGCTACTTTGTGATGACCTAGAGCCTTAGAATTAGCCAGACTTAAAGCACTGTGACATCTAAGGAAAAATATATTATTCCACAAAGAGATATGCAAATATTATGAATAAATCAAATACAATACACCCAATGCATACAATTTGCATAGCTTTAAACACACTTTTGAAAAAATATGGTGAATATAACAATGTACTTATTTCTATTCAAAGTATTCTTTTCAAATTGAGCCGACAAGAAACCTCAAGAATTTTCAAAATAGTCTAACTGAATATGCAGATACTTTCCTCACCAGTATAAAGTATTGGATCTCCTAACTAACAAAATACTTTATATTAAGATGGTTATTAACAGTCTTTGGCATAACGTTAAATATAAAATAATTCTTAAGTGATTTTATCTTGATGCATGCCATTGCTTAATACTGCATTTCAATATATAATTAATATATTGAATGTTCTCTACAGCAGAATATTTGACCTGATATTTTTATCTTAGAGCAACAGAAGACAGCTGGAACAAAATAAAGTTGGCGATAGAAGCATAATTTCATTTACCTTACATTTTTCAGCTGTCATTTTATAAACAATAAATACATATAGTATGTAAAATGGGCAAAATGTAAACATGCTAATACTATCCATTCTAAGCTTCGGATGGAAAAATGCATCCTGGTGAAGGGATGTTGATTCAAACTCAGGTCCAAGTCTAAAGTCTATATATTTTCACTATGATCAAAATGTGAATGTTACTGTCATTCACATGACCATGTTAACAGCAGGAATGATGTGATGCACTTGATTTGTGTTCACTAGGGTGCCTACTAAGATTGTAGGAAGTCCTGAGCGAGTAGTCAAAGAACAAGCATGCGTAGTTAGTGATCTGTTTACCTTGAAAATCCCACCCACACTTGAGGCTTGTGGAGTACAGGTGACTGTGCTCACAGGCACTTACCCAAGGAGACAGTCTTCTTTTGGCTTTGTCTTCTTGAACTTCTTGCTCCCACTGGTCCCACTCTGACTAAATGTCCAGCTTTCTTCATTCCAACACCCTTCATGATCAGAGGAGTTTCCTTTTCCTGAGCTTCGTTTTCCTAAGAAAATTCAAGAGAAAGGATGTGTTTGGTATACAGGTGGGCGAGGGGAGATGATGTTAGTTGCTTCACGAGCAACCTCTTGACTGCTTGCATATCATTTGCATGAAGCTAACTGTAGCTATTTCAGAGTTCTCAGAGTGATTCATGCTGGACCATCTTTAATAATGGAACATGCAGAAAAGTGACTTAGAGCTTCTGGGATTAATTGTCATGTAATTCAACAGGTATCACATGACTCAAAGAGACAGACTAACTGCTGCTAGCTTTTCCATTCAAAAACCAGCCAAGGTATGGGAGTCCTTTGCTGGTGGGCACTATTCAGTCTAATTTCCCTAAAACTCACTGAACTGACATCCCTGGGGATGAAATAGGCCCAAGTATCTTCATTTGGGGCTTGTTAGACCTAGGACTCACACATGTCTTGTTGGAATATAGCTTGGCAAAAGGTAGTCCTCCAGGCAGATGCTATATTTTAAAATAGAGAATTTATATAAAACACTCAATGGAATAAAGGTAAACAGGTTAACTATTTTCTGGACATTATAATGTTTTAAAGAGCTCTTCGGTTCAAATGATGCACCCGCCTTGGCCTCCCAAAGCGCTGGGACTACAGGTGTAAGCCACTGTGCCTGGCCCACTTCAGTTACAGCTTTGATTACCTAATGAAGAGAGAAAGGCAGTTGCTTCTAGAGCCTACAGGTGAAGATTCTGACAAACATACGTGCTTGATTCTCGAAATTCCACCAGTTTTCAAAACCAAACCTAAAGCTCTGAATATTTAATAATAATCTTTCAAAACAAACAGCCAGCCCATACCAGTGGGGGGAAAGAAGAGATTAAAATTACTTTAATTACATCCTGAGAACTACCTACAAAATGAATACACTTCCCTTAATGGTGCTAGAAAACATGTAAGTAAAGTAACAAATAATTATGATCTATAAACCATAAAGAAATATACAAATGTAAGGTATTATTTTGATACCATATTGTTTTTTATGGCAGTTGTTTTCAATAGGTCTAAAGGTGAAATTCTGTTTGGTTTTTGAATTCTTTTCAGGTTTGTAGAAGTTACTTACCTCTGTCAACATTAGCTCGCAGAGAGGTGAGCATGCCCTCAGACACCAGGGTTTTATAAAGAGCACCTTTGCAAGACCTCTCGGATTTCCTGGAACCACAAGTTTCTATTTTTCTGTGACAGTCACTGTCCTCAGGCTTGGCCTGTCCTGATAGGCTGGGTGGTAGTGCATCTTCCATAGGGGTCAATGGTTCTGCTTTTATACCCTCTGGTGTCTCACCAGAAATGTTCTTGCTAGCAGAAATACTAATGAAATCTGGAGGTCTTGACTCTTTGGTGGTGTCTGAGGATTTCTCCTTTGACATTTTCTTCTCTCTTGATTTCACTTTTTTCTTTGGTGGCTTGGCATCCAAAATGCTTCCCTTGCCACTTGAGGATGTGCGGACCTTCTTGCGAGGGGTATCTCCAAGTTTCTCTATGCCCCAGTCTCCTTTTGCGACGGCTTCAATGGTATATATGACGCTCTCAATGTCAGATTCCGAAGACTGCCTCTTTTTGCAAGTCTTCTTGGGTGTGGATTTATCATTTCCATGTCGATCCATTTTGCTTTTCTTCTTTTTCTTTTTTAGCTTTTCTGGCTTGTTTAATGCTGCGGGATCCTCAATGATCATAATTCCATGAGGATGGCACATATGATCCTTTCTACTGGGAACATCACTAATTATTATCTTGCTACTGGCAGAATAAGAAAAATCAGGAAAATGACTACATTTGTGATCTTCTTCTAACTCTTCCTTTCTAATTTCTTTGGGATCTTCCATTTTTATAGCCATTATGTCATCTATTTGCAATGCCTCAAAATTTCTCAATTCCTTAGAATCTCTTAAATTTTCCTTAGCCGATTTTTCAAATTCTGCTTCCTTCTGTAACCTAGTTTCATCTGTTTTCTCCATTTTAATTTCTTTTTCTTCCTTTCCCTTCTCTAATTCTTTAATTCTTCCACCATCGGATTCTTTTGCTTTTATTAGCTTTGATTCTTCCATTTTCATCCCTTCTGATGCCAGGCACATCTAAACAATTAAAACAAAATGGGAGAGCACCCGAAAGTATCCTTATTATTCCACCTTCAAAATTAAAGTTTTCAATTATATCTGTTTTAAAAATAATCAAAACACACTTTAAACTTTACAACAATCAGCCCACTTCTGCCAAACTAACTGAAATGAATCAAATTGATAGAAGGCTGTGGGCACTGTTATACAGTCATTTAACTCGTCAAACGTATCTCTGAATTGTCATTTTCTAGCTTCAACAGAAGCTTTTCCTATGAAAACAAGACCTGGAAGAAGGAGGAAGGGATTCAGAGTTGAAAGACCCAAGTCTGATTCTTAGTTTTGCTACTTATTAACTTTGTGACCCAGAATGAATCACTTACCCCCTCACTCCTCTGTGGCTTCTGTAAAAGGAAAACGATCCTAGGACCTATCTCAGAGGATTCTGTGTGGTCTAAGTGAAACGATGTACTTAACTGTAGCACAGGCTGAATATCCCTTATCCGAAATGCTTGAAAACGAAAGTGTTTCAAATTTTGGATTTTTTTTTTTATTTTGGAATGTTTGCGTTATATACTTACTGGTTGAGAATTCTTAAACCAAAAATCAGAAATCCGAAATGCTCCAATGAGCATTTCCTTTGAGCTTCTTGTTGGTACACAAAAAGTTTTGGATTTGGCAGTATTTTGGAGTTTGGATTTTCAGATTAGGAATGCTCAACCTGTATTTAATCATCCTCAAACTCTGTTCAGATATCTGCCTTTTCTTTTTTTCCAGGGGAAATGAGGAAAGCAGAAATAATTTCTACCTGTCCACTTGAAATTAGAAATGATATAACCATTTGCTAAACAATTACAGAAGGTTTTGATTAATGAACAAAACATTATAGGTCCACAAATGCTGATAGACAACTCTAAAGTCATAAATGCTCTGAGAACAAACTTGTTTTTGTTTTCTTAACTCACTTGCTGGCAAATTGATCTGATGTGAACTCAGCTGGCTGCAAATTCTGACCTGAACCAACCTGAAACTTTATAGTCTTAAATAGTTTATTTCACTTACTGTGACCATTCATACTTTTTGTTATTGGAATAGTGGTGCATTCAAATATGCACTGGGGAAGTTACTTAGTGTAATATGTATCTACTGTATAATTTTCCTAAAATCTGAAAGATTCTGAACACCAAAACCCATCTGGCCCCAATTTGGTTAAGTTTTTATATTTCTCATCAAAACTCCCCAAATTTCACGTACAGAACATTCAAGGGGAAAGTTGCCATTTTCCTCTCTGGCTCCCAGATACCTTGAAACTTTAATATAGAGCTATTTTTTAAAATGGGAAATTTAAGCTTATTGTAAAACCTGTTTTCAGTGCCTGGGTTTTCATTTATACACACTTAACTGCAAGGCTCCCAAAATGCCAGCCCCCATGGAGGACACTAATGATACAAAAATCAATAAGGTCAGGTCTGTCTGCCTTTGAGGAACTTATAAAGAGATTGATGATGCCGATTTGGTCAAGGGCAGCAAGGAAGTCTTAGTCATAATTTATTTTATCTACTTTGTATTAGCAACTTAGAAGGGAAAGAGTATTGGGGGTTGCTGAGTCAATGCAAAATCAAGCACATGAGTAGGAAACTGATCTGTTTTTAAAAACCATCATTTTATTAAATGGCAAGTTGTCAGAGATCATTACCATCTGTAAAATTCATTTTTAGGTGGATAATACATTGAATTAAATACCAGATGCTTTTTTACCTCATTTTTCTCTTAGTATTTTCAATGCATCACCAATCTTCCTGTGAGAATTATGTTATGATTAGTAAGTCTGGGAAGAAATTAAAGAAAGGGTGGAGAGAGGCAGACACTGCAATTAAAAAAAGTGAACATGACAAGAGCACACAGCCCTTCGGATCATTCACAGGGAAGACATGAAATATTAAGGATTCACAACAGAGCTGTCTTTTTCAGGAATTCAGGTAAGCTAACCTTTAGACCTCAGCAAGTGGCTATGAAGACTATGAACTTCTCTTTATTAAACATAACCAGAAATAAGCTCAAAGCAAAATGTTATCTTAATTCTGAATCACTGAAACCTTTAATATTCCCTGCATGTTTTACTCTTATGGGAGAATGTACTATTTTTATATCAATTTTGAAATAATTTTTATTTTCCTTTCTCAACTTCTATAGCCCTTCGTGAATAACTATCCCATGTGGGGGGAGAGAAATTATACTAGTTCTGGAAAAAAGGCTAGAAAGGCATTCTCAAGGTAAATTTTATGATTTTTCAGCCACTGTCACTCTGGTGGCTTTTAATAGGTCACTTCAGGAACATTTACCTTACCGGCGCTAGTTTTTAGTGGTATGCTGACAGTTTGCATTTGCACAGGTTCATCTTAGCAAACTTAATAATATTTTGCAAACTCTATTCTAGGCTTCAATATATTTCAAAATGATTCTCTCATCACCCCTGAAAGGATTCTACAGCTAGGAATGAAATGGAACAAACACAGACATTCACTCTGGGGACGTATTCTGGGAAATAGCACAATATTTCTTGTGTAGGTAATTACGCTGAACACTAGTCATGCTTTACTTCCTCATTTCAGGCTCTTAAAAATTTTTTCACAGATTATGTTAATCCTAAATTATAGGAAAAACAATTATATTGCTGGAAGTGAAACTATACATGTAAATCAAATAACTCTGAATTAAAACTACAAATCACAAATCTACTCATTAACCGAAAACCCAATCAGACTCTCAGAGTTGGGCGTCACTCTAGAGGTTTTCTACTTTAACCTACCCAAGGCAGGAATTCATTTTACTACAGTATTCCTGAGAGTCAGTTAAGCAACTTTTGCACAAAGACAGTGAGCGTATCACTCTATCAGACAACAGTTCTGCTTGAATTTTTAAAATATTGAGCAAAAATCAATCAGCCTCAGTTCTGTTCCCTGAAGCCACATGAATTCACTCTTGCTCATACGACAGATACGATACTCGAAGACAGACTTTATGTTCCCGTAAGTCTCTTCCCATCTCCCTTAACAGCTCATCACATGTAAAGGCTTCCACACTTCAAAAGTTGGGTCCCTCTTACCTAGATGCAGTAGGTGTCCTGAAATGAGATGGGTTTTATTGAAAGGGGCTGGGCTCATGACCAAGCATCCTAGTTTGCTTAAAGCTCCAACAGTAAGCTATGTAACTTAGACTTGAACCCCTATGAGGAAACAGAGGCTAAGAAATGGGGTAACAGTACATCCTACATTGGGCTGTTGTGAGGCAAAAGTGAAGAAATGTATATGCAAACACAACTTGTAAATGATACAAAGCTTTACAAAGCTTGGGGAAAATGGATACTTCAAAATTTTTTCTATCTATCAGATTATCTATCTATCCTATCTATCTGTCTATCTATCTATCTATCTATCTATCTATCTATCTATCTATCTATCTATCTATCTATCTATGAATGATAGAGTCGTGCTCTATTATGTAGCCTGGAGTGCAGTGGCATGATCATAGCTCATGGCAGCCTCGACCTCCAGGGTTCAAGTGATCCTCACATTTCAGCCTCCCGAGTAGCTAGGACTACAGGTTCATGCCACTATGCCCGGCTCCCCCCCCCCGCCGCCCCCCACCCGTAGAGAATAGGCATCTTGCTATGTTGCCTAGGATGCTCTCCAACTCCTGGCCTCAAGCGATCCTCCTGCCTCAGCCTCCTAAAATGCTGGAAGTACAGGCATGTGCCACTGCATCTGGCTGGCTATTTCAATTTAGCAATATCTTTCTAAGATTATGTTCCTAGCCTATACTAGATGAGAAGGGGTAACTACTTGTCAGTTGATAGGAATGCTCTTTTAATGGGACCCAGAGATTAATTTTTTTTAATAGGTCACATTTCTGGCTTGTATTGGGTTTACTGTCATGTAAAATCCTGGTTTTCTATACCCACATAATATGCTGGTAAACTTGATCTCTTCTATTCTGTATTTTTATAATTTATGTTTTGCACTTAGATGTAAGACTTTCCATTTTTTCTTATTAAGTTTATCTCTTCAAAATGTGAATTATCTTCCATCTGTGTATTATACACACATTAAATAAAGCTGCTTTTCATGTCTTTGTCCAAATCTTTGGTAATAATGTTGAGCAAAACATGGCCAAGGACAGGGCCTTCTGCCAAACTTCTAGAGCCCTTTCATGAAGATGATTTGAACATTAATAAACTTCAGCAACCTAAGAATGTTTTTTCTAATCCATTTGAAATTCCTCCCATTTTGTTCACAAAACATTGTAACATCTGTCAAAAGTCTTGCTAAAATCTGGATACAGCATGCCAACAGCATTCTCTTACTCAATTTTATGACCAACCGTAACTATACCAAATAGAAAATGAGGTCGGCTTTTGTACCAGTCGGGGTCTAATTAGGGAAACGGAAGCACCTAAAGCAAAACTAGCAGCGGGAATTTAAGGCAGGGAATAGGTTAGTTACACAGGCCATGAAGAACTGAGACACCCAAACAGGAGGCGGTGACGCAACACAGGGGTTAGTGACAGCAGAAAGCCACAGAAGAAACAGATGCGGAAAGAGTGACACTGAAGCCCATGGGACAGGTCCCCAGTGGAAGATGGAAGCATGGGGCACTTATCTGGAGAGCACTGGAACATGGAAGAGAAGCTGCCTTTGCCTTACCCTGATGCCTCTTTACCAGTTCCCTCTTGACCCTAACCTGGCCTCTCCCTTTCTCCCATCTCCCAGTCTCCTGTCAGTGTCTCCCATTAGTAGAACCTACGTGGAAGCAGGGGACATAGGAGCCAAGGAAAGGCAGTCAGCAGTCACATGGGGCAGAAGGCAGTGGGCAGGGCAAAGAGACTCTGGGATGGCACATTTGACAATGACCCTTTTCAGAGAGACTTTGATAATTCCCTGTTTTCTTCTTCTTTTCTGTGGATTCAAACATGATTAGAATGATTTTCCAATTAAAATAATTTTCAAAGGTTTCTAGGAATTAATCGTCTGTATTTGAGAAATCAGGCTTATTCTTTTTAAAAATTAAAGTGAACTTTTCCCCTTTTTGTTCCTATTGAGCTCTCCTATTTCACACAACTTGTCAAAGATGATCAAAAGTGAGGTTGAAACCCAATTTGCAAGGTCTTGTGGTATCCTACAATCTGTTTTTTCTGTTGTTGGAAACCTAAATTAATATACTAAGACCATGTGTATTGTATTCTAGCTTTTCTCCTTTTTTAAATTGGATATGTACCAATGGAAGACAAGCTGCCTCTGCCTTACCCTGATGCCTCTTTACCAGTTCCCTGTTGACCCTGGCCTCTCCCTTCCTCCCATCTCCCAGTCTCCTGCCAGTGTCTCCCATTAGTAGAACCTGCATGGAAGCAGGGGGCATAGGAGCCAAGGAAAGGAAATACATATGTATTTTATACTTTAAGTTATGGGATACATATGCAGAATGTGCACAGTTGTCACATAGGTATAAACATGCCATGGTGGTCTGCTGCAACATAAACCTATCATCTACATTAGGTATTTGTCCTAATGCTCTCCCTCCCCTAGCTCCCTATCCTGCGACAGATCCCAGTGTGTGATATTCCCCTCCCTGTGTCCATGTGTTCTCATTGTTCAATTCCCACTAATAAGTGAGAACATGCAGTGTTTGGTTTTCTGTTCCTGTGTTAGGTTGCTGAGAATGGTTTCCAGCTTCATCCATGTCCTTGCAAAGGACATGAACTCATTCTTTTTTATGGCTGCATAGTATTCCATGGTGTATATGTGCCACATTTCTTTATCCAGTCTATCTTTGATGGACAATTGGGCTGGTTCCAAGTCTTTGCTATTGTGAACAGTGCTGCAATAAACATATATGTGCATGTGTCTTTATAGCAGAATGATTTATAATCCTTTGGGTATATGCCCAGTAATGGGATTGCTGGGTCAAATGGTATTTCTGGTTCTAGATCCTTGAGGAATCATATTTTAGCTTTTTCTAACTTTGATTTAATATACAATTATCTTTTTTTTTACCTATACTTTTTGGTTTGATCATAATTTTCCTTGCCCCCCACTCCCCACCAAATTATTGCTTTTTTGGCGACAAAAGCAATAATTACATAGTTTGCCTTCTCTTGTTTCTTGTTGGCTTTATCTTCTCTAATCCAGACAAAGCCAATTTCTTTATGTAGCTCTAAACAGTTAAAAATAGTCTTAAGATTTGTTTGTTTTTGCCCAAGCCCTACCTCATACTGGATTTTAGAGTAATTTTTGTCTTAACAGTCGATACCATACTTTTGTATTTTTGTATTTCTCCTTGGTTGTCATGCAAGATTTATATTCTTTTACAAATGAATTCATTAGAGTTTATGCATAATCACAATTTGAAAAAATCTTCCTCGTTCTTTTACTGAGATTGTATGTGTATATGTGTGTGGAGAGACAGACAGACATTCTCATTGACCTTGGTCCTTTTTCCATTTTAGTGCTTATTTGCATGTTCAGTCTCTTAATTTTTTTAAACTCACTCTTCCTTACGTCAAAAGTATACGTTTGACTTTTTAAAGCATTTTCCTTCTAAAGCACTCTCCTTTTAAGCATCTTCTTCTGAGCACTTTAGTTTCTTGTCTACTAATATGAAAATCATTACAAGTAAATTCCACAGTTTGTCTATTACTATGAAAATCATTACAAATAAATTCCTTAATTTTTATTTTTGATATTTGTTCCACTGCATATTAGGCATTTCCATAAGATACAAACAAAACCTGGGAACAGCTATGAATGTAGTAACATTTATAAGACGCATCACTCTTGGATGTAAGCAAATCCTTGGCCTCTCCCATCCTCCCATTCCCCAGTCTCCAGCCAGTGCCGCCTACTGGAGGAACCCAGGTGGAAGCAGGGGACACAGGAGCTGAGGAAAGGCAGTCGGCAGCCATCGGTGGTCACTGTTTTGTGTAGTCAGAAAGGTCTGACAGTGATGTACTGGAAGGCAGTTTCAAAAGGCAGGGATGGGCCAGGCGAGGTTAGCTCACACCTATAATCCCAATGCTTTGGGAGGCTGAGGCAAGAGGATCGCTTGAGGACAGGAGTTTCAGACCAGTGTGGGCAACACAGAAAGACCCTGTCTCAAGAAAAAAGAAAACACACATACACACACACACACACATACACACCCACACCCACCCCTAAACCCACACAAAAAGCAGGGATGCTGGAGCCAGAGCCAGACTGTCTAGGACTATAGACAGGCTCTGCTACTGATTAGCTATTTTCCCTAAATTTTTCTGTGCCTCAGTTTTTCAATCTATAAAATGTGTATGCTAAAATTACTGCCTTGGGAAAACTGTGAGGTTCAATGAGTTGCACATGCAACAGTACTTAAAATAGTGCCTAGTACAGAGCTAAAATAATGTAATAACCATCCCTCTGGAGCCTTATGCCATATGGAATAAATACTAACTTACCAGTAATACTCATATTAGTATCATTAATAGCATGACATGTCTTTGGTAGACTGTTTTGCTCTAAGTGTTCATTTTAGGGTTGAATGATTCTATCATTGGAGGAAAAATATTCAACAAAATGAGATTCAGGAAGACCTCAAATCAGTTGTCTTTCAAGAAGCAACTCTAAGAAACATGTAGGAAAGCTCAGTTCTACTTTGGGGTACAAGTAGATCCACTTACATCTACTTTTGGATGCACTCATCAACACTGTAGTGGGGTTTACAAATGTATGCATGGATGTGCACACAGACAAGCACACAGAAGACATAAAAGAACATAAATCAATGTGAACTCAAGTGAATAAGGCTACATTGTGGGAAACAGAATTAATGGCTGTTATTAATTTACTCAAGCTGCCCTTAATAGACTGTGAGTTATTAATCAGGCTTTGAAACAGTACATGCCTCAGTAAATGACAATTTATTCTTCTAATATTATTTTAAATTGGACAATAACCTTTTTAAAAAGTAAGAATGAAAAATCATCTGGACACTTTCCAGAGATGGAATTCCCGTGACTGCATTCAAAGAAGTTAAAATGTTAATGTTTTAAATCAAATGATGGGCATAAATATTTGATACCTATCGTCTATTCCCTCAGGTACTACTTTATTTTTTTATAACTGTAACTCAGTGGGCATAAAATGTATTCTGTTCACCTTTGTATTCTCCTGCAAGAATACCCTAGTACCTTTCAAAAAGAAGGCATTCAACAGATAATTGTGTTTAATAGGATGGTTCATTAGTTCTGAGGTAGTCTATGAGTCTAAAATGCATTCTGATTCGCACAAGGAAAGAGTTACTTTAAGCCTATAAAATACAATGCTGGCTGGGCGTGGTGGCTCACGCCTGTAATCCCCGCACTTTGGGAGGCTGAGGCAGGTGGATCACCTGAGGTCAGGAGTTCGAGACCAGCCTGACTAACACGGTGAAACCCTGTCTCTACTGGAAACACAAAATTAGCTGGGCATGGTGGCGGGCGCCTGTAATCCTAACTACTCAGGAGGCTGAGGCAGGAGAATCGCTTGAACCCAGGAGGCAGAGGTTGCAGCGAGCTGAGATCGTGCCACTGCACTCCAGCCTGGGCGACAGAGCAAGACTCCATCTCAAAAAACGGCAACAGCAGCAGCAACAAAAACAATGCTAATTATGACCATGCTACTGCTTGGTCCGGCCCAGCAATCATACTGTCCTTAGTTATACCTCCCAAGAATACCAGTGAAATTAATCACCAATATTTTAATATTACCTCTGTCAATAAAAATCGCACTGAGGTTTCTCAGTGTTTTGTGTAGTCAGAAGGATCTGACAGTGATGTGCAGGAAGAAATGGAACTCACTCCCAAAAGAAAAAGAAAAATCAGTATGTTAATACCTAGGATTCCTAAGGATGTGCATGTTAGACCATGTATAAAAAGTTATCTTCTTCAAAATGATTACAAAGAAAACAATTCAATAGAAATACTGAAGGGGTGAGATAAAATGTGTAGTAAAGGGATTATATTTTATGTTCCTGGGTTCAGGGGGACTGTCACACTTTTAGTTCAGGTAAAACCATACCTTAGGCTCAGTTTGTTACTACGGACTCGCTTTAAAGATAAAATAAACCTTGGCTGCAACAAGCTTTTATCTTTCTGAATCAGATGTATTTTAAAATGTATTCTTTTCTACTGATGTTAAGATATTCATTTTTAATTTGTTCTGCTTTAAAAGACGTAATAAAATGATCAGTGGAAAAATAACAAATTAGGTGTACTAGATAAAAAGTAAGGGAGGCTGAGGCAGGAGAGTGGCGTGAACCCGGGAGGCGGAGCTTGCAGTGAGCCGAGATCGCGCCACCGCACTCCAGCCTGGGCAACAGAGCGAGACTCTGTCTCAAAAAAAAAAAAAAAAGGTAATACCACAGAAGTACAGAAGCAGAAACCATTTAACTGGTGGAGGCTGTGTATCCCCTGTGCGAAAACCTTGGCATCAGAAGTGTCTCAGATTTTGGACTTTTTAGAATTTTGAAATACTTGCACATACATAATGACATATCTTAGGGATAGGACCCAAGTCTGAACACAAAATTCATTTATGTTTCATATACACTGTATATAAATAGTCTGAAGGTAATGTTATACACTATTTGAAATAACTGTATATGGAACAAAGTTTGTGTACACTGAACTATCAAAAAGCGACGGTGTCAGGTGTGAAATTTTCTGCTTGTGAGGTCATGGCAGAACTCAAAGTATTGGATTCTACACCATTTTGGATTTTTAATTTTCAAATTAGAGATGCTCAACCTGTCCTAAGAAATGATAAGCAGTTCCAAAATGCACCATATAATTTCTCTTTTAATTATATGTCATCTTTCATTGTCTATTATAAAGGAGTTGGCCAGATTAAAAACAAGGCAGTGTGAAAACAGACCTACTGACACCAATCAAGAAGTTTCCATTTCCAAATCTCTGCTTTTTAGTACAAAACAAATGTTTTGCAGCCAAGGTATATTTACAATCATTTTGTACTGGCTTATTATCTGCCAAAACAATGTAGACATAACCTTAGGATGGCATTTTAGCAGTGTTTTTCAGGATGTGCATTTCTCCCATAATTAAATAAAACCCGAACGCTTGTGCCAGAGAAATATACACTGGTTGATGGTTTCTGAGAATAGCATTGCTGCTAAAAAATTCAATTCCATTTATCATAAGAGATAACTGGTCACAGAACAGTGGTCTAAGCTTCTCTCAACACTAAAATCTGGGCATATTTAACAGTTCTGTAGTTTGCTGCAACAACTGGACTAGGTGAAACGGTGATTTAAATATTTTTCTTTACTCACCATTTCCTCAGAAATGGTACTGTTTCTGAAGACTCTGAATGGGGTGGAGGTGGCCTTTCCTCCATAAGCCCATCTACTAAAGTCTTCCCCCAAAGAGGTTAAGGGCAGTCAATTAGATACATTCCTCTACTTTCTGTTCCTCCAAAAATAACCTAGTGCAATTGGGGATGAGGTGAAAAGATTTAGAACAGGAGTTTTCTAAAAACAACTCACAATTTTGTATAAAATGATAAGGAAAGAAACCCACCACACGGGTCCCCTTAAATGCATTTTAAGTATTAGAATTCATTTATATGACGATAGTGTAGGAGGAGCTGAGGTGGGATGTTCTGGGCTTTAAGGGGGTTACCATAGGATGGAAGGGATAATGCACATCAATAATATGAAGACACAACAGAAATCTTAAATGGAATCATACACTGATCAAATATCACCAATAATTGGGAGCAGTGGAGGGATCTATGGTGGCTGCCTCTGTCGTCTGTGCTCTCAGGAATGCAGGTCTCTGCTTCCTAAACTCAACTATTTACTTGGCTAGCAATCTTCTCCTTTTTCCACTCTTCTATTATTGAATTTCTCTTTCCCCCACCCTCAGCATCTTTCAGCTCTTCTTTTCTACTAGCAGGGCTTACTCTTTGTTTGCAACCAGCCTTCCCGAAGCAGGGTTCCAAGGTCAAGGTCAAACAATCAGGTTCAGTGTTGGAGTCATCTTTGACTCTTCTTTTTCTTTGCCTCTCACATTGACTCACTCAAACAATTCACTTGAATACCCCTGGCATCTCTTTCTGTCTCCCGTTCCCACTGTCAGCTCTCTCAATTCCAGTTCTTATCTTCTCACACCTTAAGTCCACAGGGGCTTTCCACTCCATTCCATACATAGCTGCCAAGAAGATCTCTCTAAGTGCTGCTTTTATCACTGTGTAACACCGTCCCAAATCTTCAATGGCTCCTCATTATTTTCAAGTATATATTTATTTGCTCTGCACTAAACATTCTCCCAATTCTGACTCACAGATACACTTTACCTTCATCTTCCATAAACACAGTCCTCTATTCCTGTCAATCTGATAGACTTGTTACCATCTACCTTTCTCCTGTGCTTGCCTTAATCCCTTTGCTTTATCTCCCCCAGCTGTCCACTTAATTATGTGTAAGTCACAATCCCCACTATGTATGGCGGTCAGGTATAAAGGAGGGAAATGAGCAAATTTAAGCGGATAATGGCAATGACTGTTGGCCTCAGACTGAGGGCTCAGCAGGGAAAGGAGAGGACAGTCATTTGGAGAACAAGCATCCAAAAGGGCAACCACTAATCAACTCTGAGCAATTGTTCTCATGAAGGAAGGCTAGCTTGATGTCTCCAGGTCCTCCAAATTTTCAGAAGTCAGAAATCTATATTTATTTGAAGTTTTAATCTTCAAATATTAGCCATGAATTGAACTGTAGAATATGATATAGGTCAACAAAATATAGGCCAAACAAAGGATCTCTGTAGGTTGGATGTCACCCAGAGACTGCTAGTTTCAACTTCTAGTGGTTCCTAAGTAACTCCTTGATTGAAAACCATCATCAGTTTTTTCCCCTGTGCTTGGTCTCCAGAACATGCCTGCTAATATTTTCTCCCTTCCCTAGTTTCACACATTCATTTTTGTGTGTCACTCATCACTCAAGTGGAGTTTCATCATTTCCTTGCATGATTCCTTATTAAATCACTTGCACTCTTTATTTCTTATTCCTTAACTTGTTATATCTTATCTCTACAACTAGAGAATAAGCTCCTTGAGGACAGGAGTTGTATACCATAATTTCCTACAATCCCCACAGTATCTTCCAAAGCACATTCACAAACAAGCACTTATTTAAGGGTGTAAGATGCATCCTGGCAGTTTCAAAAGCACAGACATTTTTTAAAAAGAAAACATGAGCTCCATTTCTTTGACAGCAGTCTTGGACAATCTGTCATCTTATTCAGCCACACATACATGTGTAGGAGTAAGCTGTCTTCCATAGAGACTTTTATAATATGCACACTCCTATAACAAGCAACTTGCACAGTCTTTTATATTCATCTAAAACAAGGTGAAAGAACAGCCTGGTGTTTAAGAGTACAGGCTGTGGAGACAGTCTGCCTGGGTTCCTGTGTAGGCTCTAACACTTATTGTCCATGTGACCTTAAACAAGTTATATAACTTCTATAGCTTTTGGTTTCCTAATGTGTAAAAGAAGAATGATAGTAGCTACCTCAGAGGATAGTTGTGAGAATCAAATTAGTACATATAAAGTACTTAGTGCCTAACACACAGCAGATAATAAATGCCAGTCATTATCATCTTAGGTTAGATAGCATAACTTATCTGTAGAAAGATCTGCCATTCAAATTTGTAATGTATTTTAAAGAACATTCAAAATTGTTTCAGAAAAGTGAGAAGCAGAACAGCAATCTTTTTAGGCTTATGCTGCAGCCTCTAGTCACACTTTAAAATACTCTGTACTTGGAGGTAACATGTTCCTATATCACCGATCTTAGAAGAAGGTTTACAGGTTTTAGTTCTCATTGCACCAAAAATATGTGTATATACACATACAGGTAACTTCAGTCACCTCTGTTATTGGCACAGAATACATCCTCAATAACTACTGTGAGAATAAATGAACAAGTTGCTCTACTTGTTATATTAGACAATTTTGGTACTAGAGATCTTCAAGGGTAGAATTTTTCTTTGCTGAAATGTACACAGGTTCAGATATCTCTGACCCTCTTCAGTGTCCTCCAACTATAGCCACTATAATACACAATGATCTCCAGTGGGGATGCTTTGCTGTTCTTTATATGACCTGACCTAATTAATTTCAAAACGAAAGGAAACACAATACCTTATAGTACCTGCACAACTTAAATGAATGATAAACTGAACAGTATGAACTTCATGGAGGTCCAAACATAAAGCATTATATTTCTGCCAATTCCCTGACCTCAGACAAAACCCTTAAAAATATCTGGAACAAATCCCAGAACTTTCAGGTCACTTTCAGCTATTAAAAGTCTACCCAGTTTAAAATGCCAATCATATGCCTGAATTAGGACCTTCCCCAGGAAATCTCCTGGCTCCAGGGTCCTGGAAAACGGGAAAGGGGTCTTTACAACGCTAAAGTTGGGAGTACAGGCCAATCCAAGTATCTCTGTGCCTGCTGCCAATTTCCCCCAGTTTTTTTTGTTTGCCTGCTTACATGGGTACAGGGCACAGCAGTAAATATATGCCCCAAATATTTCTTACTTCTCACTAAGGAGAAGACATTTGTTGGAAGCAACAACCCCCATGTTTGGAAGGACTGTTCATTCACTCCTCTTACTCCAGCCCACAGGAATGGAGTTGGGGAAAGGTGAGTAGTTAGTTTGGGGCTGGTTCCTGGCCCTTCTTTCACAAGGCCTAAAACCTCTCATTTAGAGAATAGAAGACAGAATGGGGGAGGTATAACTAACTGCCCAAGGTTATGTTTTTCTTTTTTTCTTTGTTACTGTTAACTCTACACAAGACTCAATGGCATTCTCAGGGGATGTCACAGGCAGGGGTGATATTCAAAATATTTAACAGGCAGGGGTGCCACCTAATCAGAGGGGATGTGCCCTCCAGGTGCTGAAGAGTACTCGGGTGGTTGGGTTACAGGCTTTTTCCCGACAGTAGGAAGTATCTTGTTGTTTTAGTATAAGGACGGCAAACCAGTTGAGTATCACTCCTGCTTGCAGGCACACCTCAGAGGTCCCGAGCAAAGGCATCTCTACCATATTCTCCCCTGATGTGAGACTGCCCCAGGACTACCTTATGCAACCCCTCTCTGTTACTGTCCAATAGTCTCTTGCCTGATCACATGGATCTATTTTCTATTTATCCACTTGACCCTTGGGAAACTCATACATCTTTATAATGCCCAAAGTACAGCGGGCCATTCCGAGTCTCTCCATGCTGTCAACTTCCTTCAGTTTTCTTTTTTGCCTGGTCAGATAGGTAAAGGATCCAGCAATAAATTGATGTTTGAAATATTTCTTGTTTCTTGCCAAAGAAGAAGAAGAAATCTTTTGCATGTACCTCCCTCAATCTTTAACAGTGCTTCTCTTGGAGCTGCCTTCACTTCCCTTGACATGGGACATAGATAAAGAATGAGAATTAATATCTCTTCTTTCCTCCCTGAGACACAGAGAAAAGGCAAAATATTCCAGATGTGTGGACAGCCTATGATAACCCTCTACCAAAGGATGACTTGAGATTGGAGTGGGGATAAGAGGAGGAACTCCTGGAGTGGTAGATAGGATAATAAGTTGTATTAGGCTATCTCTTTAGAAATCCCGAGATGGGTGTGGCCCAAATTGGAAGTAGTTTCTTGGTGACTTTCCCTTTAGAATGTGTGAATTTAAGGTTGTGTCTTCAAATTGCAGACACCATCACCAATTCTAGGCAATAGGAAAAATCTTCAATATCTTCTTATATTTATTTATCTTAAAATGCATCAGAAATAATTAAACGTTATATTTTGTGAATGAAAAATGAATATCAAGTACACATGCAATAAAAAAATTAAGGAAGCATAAATCTGCTGGTGATTATTTGGAGATGCTGGTTAATCCATTGTGCATATACTTAAGTTTAATTAGAAACTGGGAGGTTTTAGAATGTTATTCTAAAATACACTGTATTAAGACATCACACTGATTCAGTGCAAATAACAATGCCAGAAAGTTTTCTTTTTTAGGGATTCTGTTTAATCAAAAGTATAAATCTTTGCTCAAATGTCATAAGAAACTCAGTCTTGGTATAAGCTGATTTGCTATAATTGGAATAGGCTTATTTCAGTCATTTTACCCCGTTAAATTATGATACCAACATTCAAACATCTGTTAAACCATAGCATCTGTTTCATATTTGGGATGCATCCCTACAAATTAGAAGAGTGTTCTTTTTAATGAGCTCTGATTTAATAAGGAATCCTTTTTTTATGACTGCTATGCCAAAGAAAGAAAATGACGAATCCACTTCTTTACCAGCCCCCCCATGCAGCAAAGTACCCCAAAGGTTCATACATTTTTAACAAAAAAAAACTGTTTAAAGGTAAATATCATACATTGAAAGCTGGTTTTACATTTTAGTATTGTTTAATATTTAAGAAATCATATGTATTTTCCTATATATGTGTGCCCACATACATACACATGCAATTATATAACCAGCACAAGCAGAGGGTCATACATCCATATTATTCAAGAAAAATAATCACTTCGTTCAAATAAATTTTCTTGACAATCTATATACAGTCTTAGAGTTACTAGACAAATGCATGACCTCACAGTCTGTCTGTTTACTAGGATTTGTTTACAACTCTAACTCTAAAGGCACTCTCTTGTCAGATCTTCACTGTTTCAGCTCTGTTTGGAGTAGTACTTTGCACTGACTCATGCAGTTCTTTTGAGAACTATTCCCTGCTGTCTTCATTAGTTTTCCTTAGAGTTTTCCAGTCACTTGTAGCCCTCTATTTTGGTCTCAACTTGTCTTACACAAGAAGCGTGTCATTGTAGTGTCAGACAACAATGGGGTAGTTTGTTCCATTGTTTATTAATTTTACTTTTTAAGGCCTTTGTATTTTTATATTTCTAATTTGGACTTGGTAATCTTTAAAAACCTAATTTAAAGATATTATATATTTTAAGTGCATAAGTTTTATGATACAAATTACCATAAAATTTAGCAATTTTAGAATATGATTGGTCAGCTCATTAAGTTAAATAAACTACAAAAAATTTACAAAAGAACTCAAAGGGAGCTCATTGAAAAGAAACCAGAAAAATGAGAAAATTAAAAAAAATTTAGTAAGAGATTTTTGGTTATCCACTTTCTACCTCCTAATTTATCTTACCAACAGAGAAAACTGCTACTAGAATGTCCTGGTGCTGAAAACATTTCTTCTGCATGTTTCCTTGAGGTAGGGTAGTCACAGCCTGGCAGAGAAAGCCATTGCCTTGCCCACCCTAGCAACAGATGCTTCCGGCGTCTTCCTCCCCAATCCATCCCCCACTAATAAGGTCTCTGTTCCTCACCAGCTTTATGAAAGCAAGTTTTCTACTTTGCCAATGGAAGAGTAGCATTTTACACACATCACATCAAATGTACAACTGATTGATCTTATAAAATCAGATTTTAGAACATGTCATATGAATTCTTCACCAGGAAAAAAAAAATTCAAACATCAACCATCTGATTTAAAAGCAGTGCATTCTGGAGATTTATAGACGGTTTACGGGAATCAGAAAAGGGAAAATAACCACAGATACTCTTCTGTGTTCAGGCTGGACTTACATAGCCAATCTAAGTAACCTTATTTTAAAATACTACCTGTGAAAAAAATTTTGCAATATCTCTAGGTAACCTTTAGCAATGCTTAATGACTCTTAGTAGCAAAATTCAGTTTTCCCAAATTAAAGGTTAACCCTCTCATTGTTGAAAATTAGATGTAACTCATTTTATGGTCACAGGAGAGATGGTACAGTTTAGGGAAACACTGTTAGAATATTTTGTAATTTCCACCTCTGCAGATCTTATCTCAATATATTCTTAGGAACTTGCCTCTGCCAGTTGAAAGAGTGCAGACTTTCCACAGCGTTTTACAGGCTCAGCACCACCCAACTGCGAAGTGTTTGAAGAAATCTATATTAAAGACAATCCAAATAGGGAATATTAGTTGTGATACCAGAATCTTTGCTTCTCATTCATATACATTCAGGAATTTTTCTTAGTTACGAGAGTATCATTGCTCCCATGTACCAAGTAACAAAACATGTCACATTTGGGATGATCATTTTGAGAACCATTTTTAGTAAATGACCTCAAAAATAATAACAAAAGTAGGTATGGCTGTTTAACAGTAAGAATATTATCTTGGATATTCTAGGCTTTAAATTTAACTCTGTAACCTTAAAGTGAGAAATGCATTTCAATTTCTACTTAAGTACTAACTTAATAACTAGTCAAATATAAAAGAGATTTAGAGTTATTTTGCATTTACCAAACAATTTTTTTGAAGAATATATCTGGGATCTCTGTGGAAAGACAGCATCAAGTCAGTCAACAAATTTTGTTTAGAATCCAATATATATGTGCAAGGCCATATGACAGCAGCTTAGGAATCTAAGAGTTTTATATAAAACACTGACCCTGGCTTTCAGAGTATGCTTTAATGTACATGCAAAGACTGATAATCAAGGCCACAAATCTGAGTTGTACAGTTAATGGCCTATGCTGTGTTGCAGTACATAACATATGTACAACATTAACATTGACTGCATCCTCTTCTGCAAATTTGGCTAAAAAGTGGCTGGGCATTGATAAAAATAAACAACACTGCCTTTTCTCATTTTTTAAATAAAAACTTCATTTTCCATTTCTAGCCTCAATAAGAGCTGAGAAGGACATACATTCTTAAAGACATTTACAAGCATCTTCACCTGAAGTTCTGTCATTGTTAGAGTAGATAGCTATAGTCTAAGATTTTTAGATTCTTTGTGATTCTGAATTCTTTCTCAGTTAAAAACAGAGCTATTTCTTATTTCCATTTAGTAGGTAATCCTGCTTGTGACTATATCCTTAAAGGTGACCACAGATCCCACAGGTGATTCTACGAAGTTGTTAGCTCCAGGAGGGACTGGGTGCTTCATGCTAGAAGAAATTTTCCCTAGAATACTTGCTGAATAACAGGCCTTTGTAGAAGCATGTATTTAATAATGGCCTACCTAGGCTATTAAAAAGGGCCTAGCTTAAGGAAGTTATGAGGACTCTTTCCTCCTGGGTGTTATCAGTTTTAACAGAGTGCTTTTCTATTCATCTCTATCATTTACTTTTCCTTTAGAAGATACATTTATGGGGCTCAAACTTTCTGAAGTTTGGAATATTTTCTTCTGGCCGAATTTTCACTGATAAATGCTACTTCTACCTTTTCTAGACATGCTGAATTCAATTACTCACCTTATCAGGAGACTAAGAGAAAACAAACACATTAATACCACCGGCTCTCAGTGCTTCAGGGAATGAAGGACTGAACATAAATGCCAGTGCCTTGAATCAACGCTCTATAATAGAAAGAATATGGCCTTTGTGCCACACAGGCATGCTTTCATTACTTGCTGCTGTGTGGACTTAAGCAAATAAGATTTTGAGCCTCATTTACCTTACCTTCAAAATATGAACAGTAATACCTGCCCGCAATTATGCTGTGAAGATTAGGTGTGATGCTAGTGTAGGGCAGTGCTGAAGAGATATTATGCTCTCAATAAATGGCCCAATTATTACTAATAATGATTTATCTTTAACACTTAATAAACATAAACACCTTTTTGGTACAATTCCAAAAATTACTTAAACACTGAAATTGAACAGAATTAAAAATAGCAGTGTGTGTGGATATTTATTAAATTTAGTAATTTGCAGAGCACTAAATTTGTCACATAATCCCATGACATGCTCAAGAATTACTGAAGGACCACAAGCTGCGTAGCACTGCACTTCACACCCATGCTGTTTTTCTGTTTCTTCCACTGGCTCCCTCTGCTGTTGCTTTTGTCACTGCAGGTTTTTGTTCCCCGTGTGTGTCACTCCCACATATCCTGTGCCTAATGCAGTGCATGGCACACTGAGAGGCTCATGAATGACTGACTGCATGGATGCACTACCTGCCTTTAGAGTTAAAGCAAAGCTGTCAGAGAGGAGGCTTGAGAATGCTCTCCTTAGGTTTAGTAAGAACAGTTTTCCTTATTGCCTCTGGGAGGATTTTTACCTGTTTACAGGTACAGGGAAGCATTTTAAATGCTCAAGGTTGCTGGAAGCCTGATTCCCAAAAGGGCATGTGTGGGGGGAGGTTCAACATATTTTAGTGGCCCAACATTTCCAGGATCTCCTAACAGTAACATTTTTATGGCATTACTTAGTGTGAGATACGATTTCTAAAAGTTAAATCAAAAACTTCTTAATTTGAGGGAAGGAAGGGTGGAAAACTGGGCATACGTTAATTTCCATGGCTTGGTCCTTATCTTAATTTCTTTGCAGCATTTGACAGTGCTAGTCTTTCTTTAGAAAAACTCCTTCCTGCCCTTCTGTTATTGCAGGGTCCTTGCTTTCCTCCTATGTCTCAGGCCACTCCTTGTGGTTCTTCTTTGCTGGCTCTTCTTTCCATAATAATCCCTTCAATGTTTTTCCTCAGTGTTTTGTCTTAGGACCCTCTCTCAGTAATCTCATCTATGCTGATGGCTTCAATTTCAAGCATAGCTGATATAATAATGATTTGTTATATTACTGTTCACTCCTGCCCATGCTGTTCTACCTAAGAGATATATACATCCTTTCAGATACGAACAATATAGTTAACATCTGTTTTCCAATGACTGGTCAGCTATGGAGGGAAGTGTGTGTTTGCTAGGTTGGTAGGTAGAGGGCACTAGTGGGCCATACGGCATAGGATGTTCATGGGTATGCTTCTTATTTTCCTCAAATTGGATAGGGCTTGCCAATAAGTTAATTCCACTGTAGTCTCTCTTGACTATTATGTAATGTTTGGATAAACAGTATTCATCCATAAAGTCTAGCTACAGGGTGGGTGCAACAGTACATGAGGTACAGCTAAAGTGCTAAGAAAAATGATCACCCTGGATGTTAAATTGCTAATTTTATGGCTGTCTGAGGTGGGTGAGCAAACAGGTGGTAAAGATGAGAATCAAATTAGGTAATGGTGGAAGTCTTGCAATTATGACGGTATTGTAAATATTGTAGCTTGGGAGAAAATGACTGATAATTGTTGAATGAATAAATGAGTCAAAGAACAAATAAGGCCTTCTTTACCTTACCTTTCTTATCTAAAAAGAAATATTAGTGCTTCCAATAAAACACAAAATACATCCACTGATTAGTTACAGTGTAAGTATATGGTGTTTTTAATCAACTGTAATATAGTGTAACAAACTGAGCATTCCCTCATGAAAATAAATGCATTAAATTTGTACCTATTGCTTATATCCAATGGTGACAATATTTTAATTTTGGTGAGATTATAGTTATATTTATATAGGCAAAGCAAATATCTTCTAAGGGAAGTTTTAAAGTCCAAATCTATCTAAATCACCCAGATTAGCTGTGTCTTCAAGGTAAATATAATTTTTCAATGCAAAGATATACTCTAGGTGTAAGAGTGAGCCACAGAGCAGATCAGAGAATATGTGGATTGGTCATGGCTTTTAGGCCTGTTAAATAATTAAAGACAACAGTTCCCTTCTGACATTATATCTGGTCATTAGTCTTTGGTAAACCAGACCTAAAAAGTAACTGATGTGTCACTCTACCTGTAAACAACAGAAGACACAGATAGGAAATTCATTCTGACCAACTTAATGGATCGGAGCCTGGAAACACAGAGTAGATGGCACTTTGGATGGGCCAAGCTGACTCTGGATGAAATATGAGTCTCACCTTGGAATGGGAGACAGGCTGAAATTGGGGGTGGTGAGTGAGAAACTGTCCCTGCAGTCTGTATTTCTTTTTAAATCCTGATTTTTCTTCTCTTAAATGTAAACATTTATGAGGCACCTACAAACAAATATGCTTTATTCAGTTTCATGGCTCCACATAGATTAATTTCAATGAGCTTTTCAATGATCAGATTTGGTTAAGAAGGAAAAATATCTTTCTCATCTTGCAGGGAAGAGATCCAGGACTCAATGAAAAAAAATCAAAACAAACAAAACATTTTCGACTTAAAGAAATCACCAGGGTTTACTGTTAAAAGTATGTTTCTAAGATAAATATTTTACACGATAAATGACCCATTTTCAAGAGAAAATCTAGTTAACTTTTTCCCAGTGTTAAAAGAGTTTGTAAATAAAATGAACGGAAATAGTTTCTGAGAATTTTGCACGCCTGATCTTAAAATGATACTACAAAGCTAAATACTTTTAAAGAGTAAATTGTTTCCTAGATTACATAAACACCCACTTCTCTTTAAGTGTATATAATAGGACCAGGAATCCCTCTGAAAAGAGACAGGGATATAAAGCTTTCCACTCAGTAATTTTCTTTTATACATCAATCCCTTCCTCTCTTGACCCTTCCACCGTGAAGTTCCAGAAATATTAATAAATGCCTTAACAATAATGATTTAATAATTTGGTGTTTTTTAAAAAACACATAACTATAGAGCAGTGGTCTCAAACTGTGGTTCTCTAATAGGAAACTTGTTCAAAATGCAAATTCTCAGGCCCAACACCAGATTTAATCAGTCAGAAGCTTTGGTGGCGGGGCCCAGCAATCTGTGTGTAAACAGCCTTCTAGGTGACTGTGATGTATTGTAAAGTTTGAGAACCTTTGCTTTTGACTAATTAAAACAAGAATTTCAAGAATCTTTGGATTTTCTCAAAGGTGATGGTGTTTTATGAAATAATTCTAAGAGCTTTAGGGATATCGCAGTGAGTAATTAGAGCCTATTCTATTTCTGTTGCAATACATATGCTCATAGCAGATTTTAGTAGATATTTTTCTTAGTTCATCTAGTTAGCTCTTATTTAGCCTTAAATAAAACCAGCCCAGTATTAGTCTGACAATATGGTCAGATTGTAAGATGTTAAAGATTGAAAGTTAGGGTACTGCTGGGTCAGAGGAGGAAAGTGACGAGAGAGGTTATGTATCCTTTGAGAACCATGAACTACTCTTGTATAAACACATATAACATTTACAGCTAAATAACCAAAGATACAATAATTTAACTTGCTGAGGAACTAGGGCTATTACCAATGGTTACAAAATATAACTAGGAAAAGTTATATCTTGTAGGGACTACATCTCATTCTAGGGCAAAACAGAAAATAATATATTTTTACACTATCCATTTTATTTTGGTCTTTCTGTCATACATGCCTTCCTATATTTTGAAACAACTCCTAATAAGTTTTCAAATTAATAATTTTTTAAAAGGCTCCTCAAATCCTGCATATACTTTATAGCTAAAAACCCCAAGAGTCCTCAGGAGATGAGTGCTGTAGAGCAGAGGGGCAACCTCTGGGAATGACACCCTGCATGACTCTCTCCTCCAAGTAAGAAGTTCTTTTCTTCTCTAGAAGAAAACTTAGTATAATTAAGAGGCAAGGACCAAATCTCATTCAAGAATTAGTGTACGGAGCAGCAAGGACAAATTAGTTTATGAAAGGCATGGGATCTCATCCTGCAGAATCACAGGATGGTGGCTATTACACCACCAAACCAGTCCCTTAGAGCTGTCCCCAGTGCTTCAGGAGCTCCTAATGAATCTGATGATAGTGGTGCTAAAATAACAATCATGGCCAGGCACGATGGCTCACACCTGTAATCCCAGCATTTTGGAAGGCCGAGGCGGGCGGATCACCTGAGGTCAGGAGTTCGTGACCAGCCTGGCCAACATGGCGAAATCCCGTCTCTACTAAAAATACAAAAATTAGCCGGGCGTGGTGGTGGACACCTGTAATCCCAGCTACTCAGGAGGCTGAGGCAGGAGAATCGCTTGAACCTGGGAGGTGGAGGTTGCAGTGAGCCGAGATTGCACCACTGCACTCCAGCCTAGGTAATGAGGGCGAAACTCCATCTCAAAAAAAAAAAAAAAGAGGTCATACACTGAATCATATGCTGAGCGGTGATAACGGTTAGAACCAGCATCAGCTGAGATATTCCATACTGGTATTTTAAGTTAAGCTGAATACTCTTGGTAGTCAATGGATATGTAAATATCAGGTGTGTCAAAGATGAGCCGCTACCTTTCTAATATTCCTGCTATGCAGTATAGAATTTAATCAAACAGAATACATGGCAAATCAATTGTTTTGAAAAAAATGTTTCTGAAAAGTTAGATAGAACTGGCTCAGACATCAACATTAAAAATAAATTTAGTCAATATGGCAAAATTCCTTTTTAACTCTGAAGAATCAATGGGCATCAACAACTGGAGAAAAGCAAGAAAGTATTATTAACAATTATTATCTACTTCCCCTAGACAGTGAAAATAACATTTTGCTTATTATAATGGAAAACTGTAACAAAATCTTAATTTATTCAGTTTAATTAAGCAAATTATTCTTCATGAAATAACATTATATATTTTTGTTACCAATTTTATACAATAGCCCTCAGCAGCTAAGCAAATACTATGGCAGGGAAGCCTAATACATAAGCAGGCCAACCGATGGTATAAAGTCATAGTAGTTGACACGAGTTGTCCCAAGAGGAAACAGCTTTTTTTTTTTAATGTAAGAGCCAAAAGTATTTTTTTCTCATTTTCAAAGTAAGATGCTAGGTTTTCTTCTGCCAAAAGGATATCATTTTATATTCCATTTATGCAGTATTCTTTATTCAAATGAATCAAAGTGATTCAATACATCAATATTAAACAGCACAGTCCTGCTTGTCATTTTCTCTCAACCCTATAAAAATTGTTGGTTTATGACATGCATTTTTTAGTTGGGATAAAAAGGGAAAAAAGAAAAGACCTAAAGCAGATAGCATCTTATTTTCATAAACTGTATACGTTTTATTATTTGTCATATAGTGCTCATTAGAAATGAGCATATGGTTGAGGCCAGGGCTCCTGTGGCAAAATCAAGAATATCAGATTTGTCTCTGCAGCACACCAACCAAAAAAATTACCCTCTGGTGTGTGCTCTCTTCGGCTGACAAACCAAGGAAGTCTGAGATCTTACAAAAGCTGATCTGATCTGAGCCTGGGATTAAATACTAATAAAAATACTGGCTGAAGCTACATCACATTGAAAGCTAATTTAACCTGATTTAACAGGTCGTATTCACCACTGCAATCACTGTGAGAGAGTCATTCATGAATTATAGCATCTAATTTCACTATTGGAAAAATTTAATAAATCGAAAGCCTCTGACATTCTTGTTGACAGCAGTTTTTCCAAGCTTTTAAAATAAATTAAAAACAAGATAAAATGAAATAAACACATTACTGGTATTCTGAATGAACTCTTTAATGAATACTTATAAAATGGGTGTAAAATCGGGAGCTGATTTGACTATGATTAGATCAAAGGCAGCAGAAAAAGCAATAAATATTCTGTTATGTGTATTATGTTAATAATGACAACAGGCATGCCTAAAGTTCACTATACATTATTAAAACTCCATTCCAGTATTCCTGAGCTCAACAAGTTTTCTTAGCCTAAAAAGCATTTTAAAAAGGCCATACCTCTGCAAACTGAAACAAGGCAGATGTTTGACACTGCTTTGTAGAAGCATCAGAGTGGGACGTACTTGAAGATATCTGAAAGGAAACAAGCAATTTTTAATATACAATGACATTTTTCCACATCAGATCATAAGATTCTGCCATATATTTTCAACTGTAGACACTGATAAAGATTTAAAAATGAGTCATTACCCTCAATCCCTTTAGAAGAGCAGTATAAATGATAAGGGAAGACAAAGGCCATGTTTCTAAAAACAGATGATTATAAAGAACAAAGACTGAGTATGGCTCATTTGCCATGTCTTTGGTAAGGGTACCAGGTATATATCAAACAGCAGTTAAGGAGACCTGTTGACATAAATTTCCTTACTTAAAAAAAAAAAAAGGAAAAAATGTATATTGTTAAAAGCTGGAGGTTGCAAGTGAAGCCACTCCCTCACTCTCTTCCCAATACCACTCCTTCCAAGCTGTTCTCTAGTTAGAGGCAGCTGTGATGCAGTGTTGGTGAAGCATATGGATATGGGTCAGGGTATCTGGGAGACTGAATCTCAGCTCTGCTACTTACCCACAACATGACCTTGGCCAGCTCAGCTAAACTTTCTAAGACTTATTTTTCACCACTGTAAATTGATGATGATGATAATAATCTGCATTTTAGAGGATTATGGTGAAAAAAAATAAGCCATAAAAGATGTTACCTAGCATGGCACCAGAACTCAATAAATTGTTTACTAAATATGAAAAGCATTTTCTTCTTTCATAGCACCTGCGTCCTCCCACCCAACACAAACACACACACACACACACACACTCACACGTTAGTGTGTGACAATGAATGGAAGAGTCTGCCACCCTACACTTGATTCAACTAGGGGACCTTTTGTTTCCAGTTGGCAATTATGGTAGCTTTCTTCAACTTTGCTCAGAGGAACATGTGGAAATACTTTTCAAGGACATTTTGGGAGCAAGGTGAGTTAGTAATTTTGGTTCCAAAGTGAAAAAAACTTTTTTTCAGCTATAATACAGGGTAAAAGTGGGTCACAGGAGCAGAAAGCCTGGGCATCATAATAACTTCAGCCCATTCCCAATCCCACAAGTCTTTCCTTCAAGTAACTGTTCACCAACAACTCCATCAAAGGGTACTTACTAAGCAGTAAATCCACTTCATCAAAACTCTTTCATCACAAAAACTGCTTTTTCGTTTTAGTTAAACTGGTTAGAAAAACAACAGGGCCACGTAGTTATACATATAAAAGTGATGTTTAGGAATGGGAAAGAATCAGGAGGCTGGCATAGTGTGGCTCACATCTGTAATCCCAGCACTTTGGGAGGCTAGGTGGGAGGAGCACTTGAGCCCAGGAGTTTAAGACAAGCCTGGGTAACATAGCAAGACCTTGTCTCAAAATTAAAAAAAAAAAATTAGTAGAGAGACTGACTGAGTAATTAATTGTATTCACTGCTGAAGCCATCAGGAAAATTTCATTCTACTGTGCTTTTTAATCTGATAAGGATTTTTAGAATAAATATCAGTAAGAAGAACAAATATCAACCAAATCCAATTTAACAAACTAGGTAGAAATAAACCATTTTATCCATTGTAAGATCTAACCAAGTGTTCTGAAGACATTCAAGGATAAAATTTTAGAACTTTTCTTGGTCAAACCATGAATCTTATCATTTCAAGTGACCACCATGTGCAAGTATGACAGAATGCAAAAATGAACCCAGAGAAATCTTCCTGTAATCTTAGGAATTATAAACTCAGTACAACTTATTTCAGACATCACTTTTCATCCCTACCAACCCTCTATAAAAGTTAGAAAAAAATAAACAATTTATATAAGGGGAAATACACAAATATTGTAGGTTATACCTAAATACAATATATTCCTTTAAGAATTAAATCAAGCAGTGAACAAAATAGAACCAGTGTTACAATCCATCCAATTTTGTGAAAAGTATCTCAGAAGTTCTAAAAAAAGGGGGAGGGGGATGTTATTATAAATTAAGATAAAGATTTCAATTAATAACATAAATAGGAGCTCCTGGAGATAGAGACCTTTTATATAAAAGCAATAGGATCAGGGATCTCTCTGGATCTTAGATATGCTGTTAGAAGCCACAAAAATGTACACATGCTAACATATCCAAAATTTCCTGTGAAATTTTAGAGGTATCATTAGATCTTTAGAGGTTCAAGGATCATCTCTTAAGCCGTTCTGCTTTCAAAGTTGGGACCAATCTTATTTAACATGTTTATAACTGCTTTTGACAAAAAAGAGTGCAGGCTGAGCATGGTGGCTCATGCCCTGTAATCCAGTACTCTGACGGGCTGAGGTGGGACGATCGCCTGAGATCACTAATTCAAGAACAGCCTGGGCAACATAGTGAGACCCTGTTTAAAAAAAAAAATTAGTTGGGCATGGTGGCATGTGCCTGCAGTCCTAGCTATCAGGAGGCTGAGACAAGCGGATCCCTTGAGCCCAGGAGTTTCAGGTTACAATGAGCTATGATCATGCTGCTGCACTCTAGCCTGGATGACAGATTGAGACTCTCTCTTAAAAAAAAATAAAAAACAAAAAATGTTCCCCCTGTATAAAACTGTAAAACAGTTGGGCAAACACCAGGAAGGATGACAGTGGTGAAGAATGTGTAGTCAAAGACAATTCAAATGATCAAGGAAAGACCAGGTGGCTTAAAGTTTAAGAAAAAAATGTATCAGTGAGGGCTCATATTGAGTTCCAGAGTAAATTAAGATATTCTGAGCAGTCTTAAACTTTAGACTTGATATCAAGGACAATGTGCTTTTATACACCATCTCTTTGAACCAGTGTCAAGAGACCTATTGAGCTGAACAAGTCTGACAAAAGAAGACTTTGAAAACTGCCAACCTCATGCTAAAGTTTCAATTAAGATGAAAGTGCACTAAAAAAAGAAAAGAAAAAGAAATGCATAGATTAGCTGCATAGCCAATAACCATGAGCTGATTTTGTCTTCTGTTTTATCAAATAAACACATCAACAAATGACTAAATTCTAATAGTAATTCAATATATTCTTAACCTTACTATCCATGAGTAAAAATTAGTAATGAGGTTAATAATATTTAGTATGACTTTAATGATAAGCTTCTATAAACGCATAAATGTAGTTATTTCTTAATTAAGAACTCTAGAGACCCAAAATATCTTTTCCAAAATTTGATTCTATTTTCCCACTTATGGTTGAGCTGAGTAGAGTTCTTCATTGCTTTCAGTTACTGTTATCAGCCCCAATTTAAGCCCACTTTACAATTTCCTCATTAGTTAAGTATCAATTGTAATATATTACCTCGGCAAACTGAAACAATGGTGACTTCTGACGTAATTCAGGAGATTCTGAAACATCAGGCCTGCATGTGCCAGAGGATACCTGAAACAAAGAAAGATATCATATTTTCTTTTGTACTATTTACTGTGTTAGGTAAACATTTAATGCTCTATCTTCATTTGCGATCTTTATTATCAACAACAGTTACAGAAACATCACTTTTTAATCAAGTATTTTTCTCAGGATATACATTTCCTCTTTTATCTCAATGCTAACATTGACCCACTTTTGCATTTGCTTTGTGACAACTGCTTTGGTAGTCAACTGTTATTCAAAAGTCATAGGAAGCTTAGAATGTTAGAGAGGGAAGGATTTCATTATTCCTGTGATCTAAACCTCTCACTTTTCAAAGAGGAAGAAACTTTGACACTTCCTCTCCCAATGCTAAAAAATCCCATCTTTATTAAACACTGATCACCACAAGATGTAAATATTTATTTATTGTACATCCTCTCCCAGAGACTTTATTTAATGCATTATCCCCAACACTGCCTGGGCACAATGTAGATACTCAACAAGTATTTGTGGAGTGAACTAATGAAAGCTGACAACAGTTCTCTTAACCCCAATTCAGTGTGATTCCTTCCCACTTTTCCTGAATAATGAAGTTAGAGAGTCTAGGGGGAAAAATAATCTTTCACTTTAAAGAAAAAAATGAAAGTTACAAATACTTTTTAATAACTTGTTTTCTGATTACAAAATAATCCAAGTTCACTGTTAAAAATCTGAAAAAAAAAAAAAAAAAAAAAAAAACCACTAAAACAAAGAAGAAAAATCACCTACAATGTTACCTCCCAAAGATAAGTACTGTTAATACTCTTATATATTCTTCCAGTTGTGTAATTTTTTAACAAAAATAGAATATTCTACCACAGTTACAGAATGTTCTTTTTTAAAAAAACTTTAATATTAATTTTTCTGCATCACTAAGTCTTCTCTAGTGTAATTTTAATAGCTGCATGTGATTATATTTGATGGATAAATCCTATGGAAAGAGCTACTAGTTACCCAGATTATGCTCCTAAAAACAGTTTCTCACTGACCCTCTTAAGACATTGAGGACGTGTTTCTCTAACAATGTCACAGGCCACTGGGCAGGAGCAAACATTTGAAATTTTAATTGTCACCTTTGGATTTTAAAGAGTAATGGTCACCTTCTCCCAGAGATAAGCACATTAGTGAAGGTGCAGAAGCTTTTATTAATTTGCCACCTGTGGTTTGGCTGCAAAGCCTGACTCTCTTATTGTCACTATTTGATATGCTGTGCCAAATGTCCCACCAAGGAGACACAAAATGAATTAAAAAGGCCAACAAATCCTGAAATTCGTAGCCACAAAAAATTGAGAACTCCTTTATTGGTAGGAATACCAGAACAAAATATATCTTTATAATTTAGAGGTATTTTAAAAAAATCAACTTCTCTGCTTTATCAAAAAATATATTTTTGGCTCCTAGATTATTTGGTAAATAATCAAAATTTTACTTACATTCAAGCTTAGGACTTTTTGAAAATTATAAAATGTCTTCATAAAACTTTAATAAAACAGGTGTGCATAAGACAGAAATCTATAAAATATATTTGGAATTAAACGTATTATTATTTAGAGTTGCTCCACTGCATAAAGTCTATATGACATACATGCTTATTTCAGATCCCACAATTCACAAGAAATAGTGACCATTTATGAGGAGGTAAATTACCCTATGGCTTAGAGTTCACATTAACAGCATGAAGAAAATTCAACTTTCTTTTAAGTGTCATTTATAGATTATTTGGCCACGACAACACATCAAGTCAGAAAGTTTAAAAGTTCAATAATACTGTTTGCAAATCTTTAGGATGGATGGTCTTATATAAAACTTCCTATATGAACACATAATTATGAAGGCATCTATAATCCTGTACATGGTTTGTCAATTTTAGCATGCAATCAAATAAGTCTACACATGTTTGTGCTTATCATGCTCCTGACAAAGAGGGGGTGGCACAATGAATATCTATTAACTTAATTCTCTCCATATGTATGTGAATAGGAAGAATCTCAGTGACCTGGCCAGGAGTACAACAAATGCTATCCAATGGCTAAAATAACAGTAATAGAATCACTAATGCTGTGGATTTTACTCTAGTGGACCATGTCCTCTCTTAAAACCTAGTTATTCTTACTTTAAAGCATTACGGATTTAGCATACATCTTCAGTATAGTATAGTGGAAACAGCACAAAATTAGGAGCCAGGAGAATTGGGAGAGTACTAAGCTATGTAGTTAGCTGACTTGGTTAGCTGACCCTCTAGTCCACAAAAGAATAGAGGCAGCGTATCAGAAGGGGCCAAGAGGGCCGACAAAAAAAAAAAAGAAAAAGGAGGGTTGGGAAGGAAAGAAACAATGCCAGCAGCAGGATAAGACAGAAGGAGAAGACAGAAAAGCTGTAAAGAACAGATACAAATGTTTCATAAAGCACTAGAGTCTGTCTAAAACAAATTGAATAGGGAAAACAGCCCCCAAATTTCTCAAGAAGGCATCAGCTCAATGCAATAATTATTTACAACTATAATTCTAAGTTGTCAACGTAAGAAAAATTGTAAAATATATCATTTATTAAGAAGGCAGAAATCTGTGTGATACAGGTTAGACATATTTCTTCTGGGGATCTAAAATCTCAAAATATAAAAATGGTTCAATGACATGGCAAATATAAATATGAAGAATTCATTATTGAGTACTTGATAAGTAAGGCAACCCATAAAATGTATATATCTGTGGATACACTGATCTACACATGAATTTGATAAAGAAATAAGAAATTCTATCTATATAAAAGGGAGAGAATACTTCCCACAAAAGGCTCCCATTTGAGTAATGTCATTATTCAGAAGGTTCTAGATGTTGTGAAATGTTTAAAATATTGTGCCATATCATTGTGATGTCTGCATTTAAAGTACTTCACTTATTTTTATTAGGTGGGCCACACTTTTTATGGATAAACATCAATTCTGTAATATCTATTCCTATGCTAGAGCCAGTTTACTTTCTAAATACAAAATAGTCAAAGATATTTGTTCGTTAATTAAGAGGAAAGAAAAAATATTAAATAAGTAGTGGTTATTTAATAAGGGAGAAAAAAACCCAAGAAGCTGTTTCTAGAAATAGTCTCTGAAATAATCGATAAAGCCACTAGGTGTTGCTATATGCCCAAAAACAAAAATAGCTAACGGGATTTTTGTTAAGTACATATTCATTTGATTTCCCCAAATTCAATCCTCTCTTTGATTTAGTTATAATTCTCAATAACCATGGAAGGGGAGTGATTAGTATAATTAAGAATTACAATAATGCAGTTTTTTTCACAGGAGCAATTCACATAGTGAAATTGAATACATAAAAAAGTGAACTGGCCTCCTGATATAAAACAAGATCAAGCCAGTTACATGCATTGTGAGTAGTGTGGAAAGCTAGGTTGTTATCATGAGCCTGTCCTTACTTTGCAAAACACAGGACCACAACCATGCACTGCCGGCATGAACACACGGTCAACAAAAGGAGTATTGCACTGGTAGTATCTGAGCCATACGTTCCTACCCTTGCTAATTCAAACATTTATTGATTACTCACTCATTCAACAAATATTTAATAGGCACCTATGACATGCCAGACACAAAGACTGCTACTTTCAAGAAGCTTGTATTCTACTTGTATCTAGTATGTGTTAGGGAATAAAATGATGACCAAAGGAAATGTGCCTAAGCCTTAGTTGCTTGCAACTCATATGCAGGGGACAGCAACATCATATACAAAAATGTAAGTGCATAATGGTAGAATATTACAAGGTCTACAGGAGGACGGAGAGGCAGCCTTCACTCTGTGTGGGAACAGGTGGAAGATAGATAACATCTAAGATACACCTTAGGAAAACCAGTTCTCTCACAAGTGTAGAAATGATACGGTAACAGGAGGTGGGAAAGTATGAAGGTAAGAACACAGTGTGTTTGAGAGAGTGACTTTCTCAGTGTGGCTGAAGAATAAGATGCATTGGAGTATAGTGGGAGAATCTGAATTCTACATGAAGAAGTTTGAAAATTGGGCTGGAGGCAGTGAGGAGCCAGCCAAGATTTTCAGTCAGAGAGATGTGTAGTCAGGTAATTCTGTCAGTGGAGTGCAGGGTGACGCTGTCTGGGGATGACTGGAGGCAGGAGGCTAATTAGAAGATTAAGGAAATAAGCCATTTGAGATGTGAGACTCCAACTGAATCAAAGATGGTAACTGCCAGGCTTCAGTAATTGTCTGGAAAGATGTCAGAGCTGAGGGAAAGGGGTCAGAAACACAATGCCTGTGTTTCCAAGGTAAGTTAAAGCTTTCACTGAAAGAGGAAATTTGAGAGATGGAAGGAGGTTTGGAAGGAGGCAGTGAGTGTCTTTTATGAGAAGAGATGGTTTTGGGGTAGAGGATTCCATCTGAGAGTTAAAGGAGAAGCTGGTTACTAACGCACTGCACTCGGCTACCTGACACAAGCGGTGCACTACATCTGAGAAGAGTCCTGGGCCGCCACGGGGGGCATAACCCAACAGCACCACATAGAGTTGAGCTCTCCCACAAGCAGAATACATGTCGAGTCATCTGGCTAAATGGAAGAACACATCCTTGGTTTTACTCAGGGCATCAGGGCTGCTGGAGTATGGATTTTACCCCATGAGTCAAGTTCTCCTAACATTATAATCTGTGTGGCTGAGCACTAGTATGAAAGTCCAGAACAGACTCCAGGCCAGTTGTAAAAATAACTGCAGTAGCAATTGAGATAACTCCGATCACCTTTCTGCCTCAGTTTCCTCATTTGATAAAGTAGGTACAATGCCACTCTGTCTACTTGCCTTCTTCACAGTAAACTGTGAGAATAAAATGCAACAGTGTACATCAATGTGCTCTCCAACAACCACCTAATTGACAATAACCACACCTCTCTTGTGAAGGATGCCTCCTTTATCTTCCTGCTCTCCACCCTTCTCTTTCGAGCCCAGCTCTCTTTCTGCCCACCTTCCACTCTACCTTTGCCTTCATCTCTGAGAGCCCAACGAGCATACTCAATTTCATCAACGCAGCTTAGGGACTTACGGAGGATGTGTGATTTGTCAATCAAGCTGGGTAAAAGGACCCAATTATCTGGGCTTGAGCCCCACAGTGGACAGATGGTAGAGGCTGGGTTCTACCATTGGATTTGGATGGGCAGGTCCAGCCAAAGTGGGCAGTGAAGAGTGACATAAAGGGGGAGCCACCCAAGAAAAGAGGAAGCTCAGAGAGCCCATTTCCTTTTCAGTGTAGAATTTAAATAAAGTAAGCTATAAAACTATGAGAAGGGAATAAAAGTTTTGATGAGGTTCAGGTAGGAACTGGGGCAAGGAGTTTGGAATTCAATGGATTAAAGTATTCTGGAATAGTCAAATTTAGCAGCCTAAAGGAGGCACATATCTAATTAATTCAAATACACCAACAAGCAGGAACATATAAATAGCCTCATTTCATTGATGTTAGAAATTAGAATAAAGAAAGTGAAAAGTTTCCATTTTATTTAAATCTGTATTTGTTTAAAATTGTTAAAAACTCAGCATTTAAGATGTGGACATAATCATTCCTTTATCCAACAAATATTGGTAAAATTCAACCTTTCTGTGTCTCAGATTTTTGCCTATCTCATCATTTAATGAAAAACAATGTGGGTGTAATTCTAGTATTATGAATTCCTCATTCTACGACCTTTGAGAAGTTATTTCACCTCTCTGACCTAGTTTCCTCATTTACAAAATGGGGAAAATAATAAACCAGCCTCAGAGGGTTCTTGAGAGAATGAGATACTCAATGTCAACTGTGAACACAGTGCCTGGCCCCAGAAAGCACTCACAAAATGCCCCTGCTCTGGCAGTGATGAGCTTCAGTAAGGGTGCAGCACAGGACACAGGACACAGGACACAGGAGAAGTGGCCAGAGCTAAGGTTGGATTGTCAGAGGCTGAATCACCAAGGCCCCTGCGTGCTGCAAGAAGACTGAAGCTAGTCCTCCGGCGTTGGAATCCCAGTTCTGCCACTTTGTAGCCTCACCATCGTGGGCTGTTACTTTACCCTTCTCTGCCTCTGTTTCCTCACCTAATGGTAAATATTTACTTATAAGGTAAATAAGACTTAACTCACAAAATTGTTACAAGGATTAAGAGTTAGTCTTACGGAATACACTTAAGAATTGAGCCTTGGAGGCAATGTTCAATACATGTTAGTTGTGATATAATAACAACTATTCTCCAGGCAAGTGGGTAGACCTGCTGCAGTTTAAATCTTGTCATTGTTCTTGATCCCAAGTTTCTTAGTCTTCTAGAGACAATACTTACATATAATACAATAAGAAAATTTTTTAAAATATGACTTTTATTATACAGTTTATAATAAATTATAAAACTAAATATAATCAGTGTTGTAAGGTATGAAACTAACAATATGGGATATAAGAGATTAGAATAAACAGAGAATTGAATATGGCTCAAGAAATCATGAAGGACTTCCTGGAGGAGGTGACAGATTGATATTACAAACTTACAAGGCAAAATATATTTATTACAGGTTCAGTATCCCCAATCCAAAAATCTGAAATGCTCAAAAAAATCTGAAACCTTCTGAGTGCCAACATAATGCTAAAGGGAAATGCTCACTAGAGCATTTCAGATCTCAATTTTTTGGATTTGGGATGCCCAAAAGGTAAGGATCATACAAATAGTTAAAAAAAAAAAAAAAAAAAAAAAAAAAAAACTGGAACTCTGAAGTACTTCTGGTCCCAAGCGTTTTGAATAAGCAATATTTAACCTATATTTTTGGATTTTAAGAAATCTTGATGCATAAGCTGTAAACATTTTAAAATAGGCAGATCATGGTGAACAAACGAAAATCAATGTGATTTCCTTTTAAGCTAGAAGTATCATGTGAAGAATTTGCTATATCTAAAAACTTGAACCTTAAGACAATATCAGCTTCAGGCTGTCTGGTTTGTTCCCTGACATGCCTTACACATACAAGGCATTCAATAAACACTTGTCATGTAATTAAATATAAGAAAAGATGGCACACAGTTCAGCACTGTTCAATTCTCAGAGAACACGACCTTTACAGTCCTTTTATGGAGGTGTGCCATCATCTATTAGCATCTTCTCCACTAATCTGACACTAACTCAGCTACTCTGCTGACTTTGGACTTCCTATACTGATTTTTCCCAGATATTAAAAAATTGTCTCCTTCTTGAGCACCTGATGATAAAGATAGTAAATTACAACGGTAATTTCTGCTAAGTTTTCAATAGACAAGAACTCTCTCTCTCTCTCTCTCTCTCTCTCTGTGTGTATGTATGCATGTTGCTGGTAAAGCGTATCAGCCTGTGGGAGAAATGTCTGATATAATTTAAACTTGCAAGTTGAATATGAAATGCCTAGAATAACTAATGGCAATAATATATACCTACAAGAATTATTTGCAGGAGAGTTAAAAGTGCCTTACAGCTTTTATTTAATTAATCTTCACTGTAGCCTTGAGATTTGAAGGCAAGCAGGTATTATTAGCTCCATTTCATAGGATGGAAGGCAAAGAAAAGAGTGGCTTGATCAATACTTTACTGTCATTATCTGCTGGCTCCAACAAAACAGGCATTCTAAAATCACAGACCCAAAGTCTAAGGTACTTCCCATATATTTGAAAGTTTAGCTTCCAACAGTCATACAACTACACAGATATTGATACCTTCGAAGCTTTTCATCAGCTATAATTAATCTGACTAACTTATATTCTACTTTTCTCCAACCACCCCTCTCCTTCTGTTCTAGCCAAGATGAATTTACGTTGCTCACTTAGGTCTGATACTGGATGTCATCCTTTCTGAGATCAATCCAAGTTGTTGTATACATGACATGGTGAATAACTGCCCCTTCCACAATCTGAATTATATCACTCCCTGCCTTGTTTTTTAAGATTTAATTTAGCTTTCCATTTTTATTAAGATAACTAACAAATATAAGGATTTCTAGTCCTGGAGATTACTTCTAGAAATTCTAGATCAAGTACTGACAATTTTTTGTATTTTCATTTTTAGATAACTCTGTGGTATAAAACATAAAGGCTTAATTCTCTGCCTTCTCATTAGTTCTTCCCTGAGTTTGATGTGAACATGATTACTTTTATTTGTTCTACATTTTTATTTCTGGTTCTTTAAATTAAAAAAAAAAAGGTGATATTCACTTAAACTTCTGGGCATTCTATTTAATAGAGAGGCTGTCATCTCCGTTGTAGCTCCCTGCCGCCTATTTTTGTCTGGTACTTACATTTTACTGATTAAAGAACTACATTTGATTTCTGATTTAAATAATTTGCTGTAATCTCATATTCACTGGACACACTCCTTTCCATTTCCTTTATTATTATGGGGTTATTTACTAATGAGACTTCTATACTTCTATTTTACAGGGTCTCAGTAGGGACATGCTTAGTCTGCTATTTTGAGCCAGGAGTCACTCCTTTATGTCTTTCGTGCTCAATGTATCGATTTTGCTTCCTCAATCAATAAATTCTGTAACAACCAACATTGTTTTAAATAATTTATCCCAAATAATTTATGCATTTCAATGTACTCTGGGTATAAAAAAACAAGGCCGATTATGTGCAAATAAAATAAACAAAACAAACTATCAAAACGCATCCATTTTTTTTCATCACAGACCCAGTTACCACAATGAGACTATAGAACCACGCTAGGCTTAGTAATAGAGGCACATAAAAAATGTTGAAATAATAATGCAAAAAATCTATTATTGTAGATTAAGAATTGATCAGAAGACAGAAAAAAAGAGAATACACAACATTTTGTTTGTTATTATTTGCGATTGATATCTCAAGAAATTATAATTTCTCTCTAAAAACTCTAAGTGCATTTCAGTAGATCTAGGAAGCAGTATAGGCTTTTAATCTGGGACTTTATTATTTCAGTTACAGTAAGCCTCTCTACCCTCTAGAGATGCTTTTTTAAAAGAAATCTATTCCCTATGTTAAAATTTTCATATTTAAAAAAATAGTCTTTTGAGGACTTTTTCTATATGGTTAGGTCTCAAGTCAGTGAACAAAAGAAAACCTTCTCTGTTTAAGAATAATATTTCAGAATAAGGGTTCTGTCATGGCATTTTTAAAAGCCAGTATGATTAGACCATTTGCTGGTGGCAGAATTTTTGAAAATGTCACTTTGGTCTTACCTCACAGTACCAACAGACTTCACAGTAATTGTTCTAAATGTCAGAAATATGAAATTTCTGTATTTCTCTTATCTCATTATCCTGCTAGTCTTCTTAGGAAAACATAAGTACATATTTATTACATTTGTCCCATGTTCATCTGCCTATGCATATAAGCTCTTAAAGTTCATTATCATGTCTACATATCTGGAATAAGACTTCGGATAGAAATTCAGGTGCTAATGCAGTCTACTGATAGCTGTGAAGTAAATTCTCAAACTACCTATATTTAGAGACAGCATTATTTTATACAACTTTCACTGTTTAAATATCTCAAGACTATTTTCAATAATGACCCAAATATCTCTGAGATGGGAAATACTGAATATGAAGAAAGAGTTGTGTTCTTTGAAGTGATTCTTAAAGACCTAACTGCTACCACCTTCTTCCTTAGCATAGATTCTCTTCTCCCATTATGGTTCCCTTCTTTCAATCATTTAGCTTTCTTTGATTCTTCAGCTTGAGAATTCTCAAAACATTTCCACTTCAGAGATAAAGGGTCCACCACAGTATTGAGTTGCATGTGTCAAAACTCTGCCTTCTTAAGAAGGAGTAGGAGAACTTCTCATTGAAAAGAGCCCAAAAGGCAAACTTTAAGCAAAAAGGGGAAAAAGAAACCATGCTTTTCTTTGACTAGCATCCATGAGTTCTACAGACGTTGATTTGTTTACATTTGTACTTGAAGGTTAAAAAGAACACTAAATAGATGTTGCGAATGAAACACTATGATAATTTAAATAGTTAAGAAAGATGATGCTGGCTTTCACAATTCAATGTATTCTTGGGAATCATATTGAGTCAGACATGTTGAAAGGTCAAGTGCATATTATTAGTCCAACATTCACCTTTGGAACACGCTTGGGATACTCTACACCTAAGTGAGAGTTTGATTTGTTAAGAGGTAGCAGCAATGTGTTAGAAAGTGAAATGATGCCTGACAATGCTATTATGTTAGAAACTACAAACATGATGAATAATGAATATGCAAAGGCACAAAGTAACATGTATGTTTTTCCAGCTGAAGATTAGCACAAAGTAACTACCAGTGCATTTTTTACACATTTATACATTTCTTGCTACAATGAAGTGAACAGAATCAAAATAATTCTGTTAAATTGAATATATAGTCAACAATTGTGGATCCCAAATGTAAACTATAAAAAATAAAAACCTTTTATAATGTAAATAGGTTATTATCTAATTATATGTCTACAAAACCACTATTTGAATAGCCTTCAAGTATAATATGTATGACATAATCACAACTAAAAAACAAAAAGTAAAAAATATGACCCAAAATAAAATTGAGTCATTGCTATTTGGCCCTAAACAACAATTCTGGTTGGGGATTGAAAAATTTCCATCTCAAAAACCTGAGTGTGGTAAAATAACATGACCTGTAGGTTAATTCAATTGGCCTCTGTTAAATGTCTCTGGGAAATAGGGGAATTCTACAAATGCAGACTGTGCATGGTTAACTGCCACTACCTGCCCGTCAAAATCATACCTAAAAATGTTTAGCCAAAGCAGTCCAATAACTAGATCATGAAACCAAGGTCATGAAAGCCTAGGTCCTTTTTCCATTTTAAAGATTCAAACAGGCTGAGCACAGTGGCTCACATCTGTGATCCCAGAACTTTGGGAGGCTAAGACGCTTGAGCCCTGAAGTTCGAAACCAGTCTGAGCAACATGGCAAAACCCTGTCTCTACACAAAATACAAAAATTAGCTGGGCTTGGGGGCACATGCCTGTAGTCCAAGCCACCCAAAAGGCTGAGGTGAGAGAATCACCTGAGCCTGGGAGGTTGTGATCATGCCACTGCACTCCAGCCTGGGCAACAGAGTGAGACCCTGTCTCAAGGGGGGGTGGGAAAGAAGAATAAAACAATCCTGAAATGCCATGTTTCCTAATTTTCAAAACAGCTGTTTGGAATTATTCAGGTACCAGAGAGACTGACAGCTGCAAATTTTTAGCTATCATCTTTTCACTAGCATGTGAACATCACCCAAGCAGAGAATGTTTCGAATAAATGAATTACAGCACCCAACTGACATAACCATGACAGAGTCATGCAAACACCAGTGATCTATATATTGCATTACTACAACCTTACTTGTAGGTTCAGAAAACAACACCTGTGTTTACATCCTCATGGCCTTATTTACACCACTTTTTTTTTACACTCAACACACAAGACACACAGAAAGATCTTAAAGAGAAAGATTATAAAGTTTGTTCATGAGCTGTAAACAGTGAAAATGCAGAATGAACAACGTAAACAGACTATAACTGTGTTCCCAACCCACAGTATGAGCAGAGTGGAGACGGAAAAGGACTGGCTTACCTCTGGTGTGCCAAGAGCATGTTCTCCAGCTAACAGCAGCATACTCAGGCCTCCCATTTGAGTAGGATCTAAATAAGTCAAAAACAAATCACCAACTTATAAGCATAAAGTACATACAATCCACAGAGTCAAAAAGAATACTCATAAAGACTAGCAATCAGAAATCCAACAGAACCACATATAACTTTTTATAAAAACTTTTAAAAACTCTTTATGCAACAGTAACCTGGCATATATGTGCTTAGTGCTCATACTTTGTGAGCCTCTTGAATACCACTCTTGTCTCACCATTCCAACAACACTTTCTTCAATACCATTGCTGTTTGTAACATTAATTTATCTCCTAATGCAATGTTTCTTTCCTTACTGCTTAGGGAGTTTAGATAAGATTTTTTAAACAAAAGAATGTTTCTGTTTGTCTTCTGAGAAATTTTAGATTGTTATTCTCAAATTATTAATTCTGCCATGTGAAATCAGGACTAGTTTTAAAATAATAGGCTATCAGAGAACTAGAGAACAGAGAGAAGTTTTCAAATCAGGCCTGTAAAATCTGGTAGGTTTTATTCAAATAATCTTTCTTTACAGTTTTAAAAATAAATTTATATTAACTGATGTGTTTTTGACATTTTAAATCTTAGGGCATGTGTCAAACACATGCCCAAAATGCCTTCAAGGTATAAAATTAATGCTTTTTATGTTATCAAAGTCTTTGTTTTCACTATTTCAATAATCAATATAAACAGAGAAAATAAAAACAGCAAAGTGGTAGATCTATAACCCAGGTTGTATCTAAATAAAGAAAGCAGAATTGGGAACAGTGGCTCATGCCTGTAATCCCAGCACTTTGGGAGGCCAAGGCAGGAGGATCTCTTAATGTCAGGAGTTTGAGGCTACAGTGAGCTAAGATCGCAACACTGCACCCCAGGCCTGGATGACAGAGTGGGACCCTGTCTCTAAAAAATTAAATGAACAAATAGAAAATAAATAAAAACAAAGAAGTTATCAAAGAAAAGGCACCTGTGTCCTGTAAGTCTATCTTGAATTAAAATTCAGAAGTGTAATGAAAGAACATATGTAAAAATGCCTAACTCGGCATCTCTCCTAGTACATATAAGGTCCTCAACGTATATTTAATTTCAGGAATCTACAATTGAAAATGAGGATCAGTCAAAATGTTGCACAAAGAAATTCAGTTGTTTCTTTTCTTTTTCGGGTTGAAGATATGTCCTTAAGTACATCTTTGTATACAACCTGTCTTAGGAACTCATAAAGCAACTTTGACTATATGTTATCGACAGTTTTAAAAAAAAAATTGCAAAAAAAGTTCTGAGGTAGTAAAAAAAAGGGGCAGGGGTTGGGGGAAGAGGTTATTAGAGGAAAAACTATGTTACCAAAAGATCAGGGGGTCAAAAAATAGCTCAACATTGGAAGGCAGCCACATAGGAAGACATACACAGAGAATACACAGACAAACAGTAGCTAATTTGATGAAACAAAGCTCTTTGGTATTGTTTTGAGACTCCAACTTCAACTAAATGCTAAGTTTAAGAAATACTATGGCTGTTGAAATAGATACTTAAATCTACTTAAAAATCAAGAGAGGGAAATGAATTTAGTAGAAAGTAAAAGTTTAGTTTGGTTCTTTCAAAGAGAAATACTTTTGCAGCTGTCATCCTAGAGATCAGGAGGATTGGATGATAGCTTTCTAAAGATAAAAATGTGTTAGTTCAAATTACAAAGTAAAATAGGAACATGATTACGTGATAATTTATATACCAATGTGACTTTGCAAGAAGTTTGCTGTATAGATACTAAAACATAGGCCAAGAAATTACCAATATCCTTTATATTAATTCATACTTACATAAAGTTATTTAGAACTATCAAAAACATATTGACATACATAGGATGCTTTCTTTAGTGCAATTAAATGAAAGGGCTTGCACTAAATTACAATCTACACAGCTTTCCCTTCTTGGATATCATACATTTGGTAATTTGGGGTTATTCAAAATTGCAAAATGTCATGTGACAAGGACTACTGGGCAAGCAAAACAAAAGAGATTCCATATTGAGGTAAACAATCTGGCATTTAGAGGCCCTCTATTATCTCCTAGATTCAGATGTCTAGGCACCAGGATTTAATTAAAGACAAATTAGTTCGCTTTCATCTTGTTGAAAAGGAACATACCTGGAAATATCAGATCAATGTTATCCACTATATGCAAGCCTATCAAGAGTTCTGAACATGGATTTGCAACATATAACCCAAGCCATTACATAATGAGATAAATGCAAGGAAGGTGTTTTCCTTCTTTCCTGTACTTTCTTTTGAGAACACTGATCTTAAATACCGATCTGTAAAGATCTTGTTTGAAGTGTGGGTTCGACTTTCAATTTGCAGGTAAAAGGCAGATTAATAAAGTGTCAGAAACGGTGCTTCAAAAAAGATATCTTTCATAGCTTTCTGCAGTTCACCTACAATTGTTATATGGTTTGTGAAGAGCAGATGTATGCAAAAAAAAAAAAAGCCAACAACAACAACAACAAACTACATACCCTGGATCTAGACTGAGAATTGGGAGAAAAAGCAATGGATGTTACATGATGACCAAAGAAAATCAGCTGGAAGTCAGTTATCTATATACTCTTTCTGGGTTCTGATAATAAGATATGTTAGAAAGTACTCCAACTGATATAACCTGGGAAGTCCAGAAAACTCACCAAGACTATCTAATAACAAATGATTTGAAGCTAAAATTGTACAAAATTGACAGCTAAAGCAAGGACAAATAACTATGTCTGATTCTTCTGGGACATGTAGAAGCATCATTTTGGGAGCTTACTTAGAATTACACTACAGACACCCACATAGCAATCACCTGAATCCTTTTTTCCGCCCTAGAATGCTGCCATTATGTTAGACTTCATTTTTTAGAGGCAGGGTGTTGCTCTGTCGCCCAGGATGGAGTGCAGTCGTGAGGTCACAGCTCACTGCAGCCTCGAACTCCTGGACTCAAGTGATCCTCCCATCTCAGCCTCCCAAGTAGCCAGGACTATAGGCACATGCCACCATACAGGACTGATTAAAATAATATTTTTTGTAGATTATATAGAATACTGCCACATACTTTACATGGTATGAATCACACACTGAATCATAAAGTCTCGTTAAATTTATTGGTTATTCAAAAAAAAAGTGTTATCACAGTATCACTCAACCTCTTTTCCCAACCTTTCCATATGCAAATAGTTCAATACTCTGCTTTGGAAGAAAATTTGCTTCTAATACCAAAATAGGAACCCTGTAGCTCAATTGCAACTTCACTGCCTTTCTCCTGCTCAATCTGCTAATTTCATCTGGCAAACTCATCTTTTGATTACTGCACTGTAATAGCTAAGAAAGACAGAGCCCACTTGTAGGGTGAATATAAGTACTTTATTTCATGGTAATAAATGATTTAGCATACCTTACCACCCAAAGAGTACTAAAGGTCCCATAACAAATGGCACCATCTGGAATTTTAAATTTGTCTGTCCCATACAAGAATGGACATGAGAGGAGACAGACAGGATGGGAATTCTCTCTAAGACACAGCTATCAGGTCCAATCTCAGATTTGTGATGTACTTGTTCATATTCTTGCCCTCAATGTTTCCAACACCCAGATGATCTACATGACTGTAGCTGTTTAAGTAGCATGATAACTAAGGTGCATCCTGGGATGGCTTACTAGTGTGTATGTGTGTGTGTAAGCTATTTTGTGAACATAAAATTTCCTAAGCTTCTGACAATCTCCATGTTGCTGTCTACTTTTCCATACTGTCAATGTCAGGAATTCACATATATTTATAATGACACTACCACTGAGGCCATATATCCTTTTTTAAATTACCTGTATTCTATATATATCATGATCCAATGCTTGAAAATATGCTATATCTTTGCCACTGCTTAATATTGGTTATAAATTTTGTCCCCCCGCCCTCAGTATTGTTTAAAATGCTGCCGAAATGTATTGCCCTGTCCTTAAAGAATAGGTGGAAATAGTGTCTCAACTCACCAGCCATTCCAAAGTTAAGCTGAGGCATTTCTTCAGTCTTTGCTTTCTTGGGGCTTGGCAAGTCTCTTGAAGAGTCAGATGGGAAGGCCCAAAGTTTCTTTCGTGGATTGACAGTGGGTGTTGGGGATTTCACAGGCTTGTTTGTGGTAGGACACCATTTGTAGCCAGGATTTGCTTTCATAAATGCATCCTTATACTATAAATAAAACGACAGACAGCAGATTTTAATTAACAAATAGATTGAAAAAGTTCTAAAGGCTGTCACCCCATTCCCCTATTTAGATACCAAGTGAGAAAAACAATTTCAGTGACTTCTGTGGCTCTCCTTGTAGAAGAATGACAATCTCAGCATAGGGTTCTAGAGATAGGACATGGAGTTATCTAATCCATTTGTGGGATAAGGATTCAGAAGCTGTATACTTTGTGTTATTTAATCCTCAACTTTAAAAAATAGTATCCAAAAAGCTTTCTGACCTCGGTGGGGAAAGGGAGTTGTTTATAATGGAATGAGCCTAGGGCTCTGGAGACAGAAGCAGGTTCAAACCCTCAAACTTCCACTTAGGGCTACAGTAACCAAGAGAAGGTAGCTTCTCTGGGCCTCAACCTTAGATTCCATAAACTGAGAATAATACCACCAGTGCCTAGGGTTATTGGAAGCAGTGGTGCATAGCACATCACTCATATCTTTAGCTAGCTGTAGACATTAAGCAAGTTGTTAAACCTTTCTCAGCCTCAATTCCTCTACTTATAAAGTGTAACCACACTTGCCACCATGCCAGGGGTCTGTAATGAGCATACATAACTGAATGGATAAATAAGCTCTAAGAGCACTGATATGTGATGTTGCAATAATCCATCACAAATTTTGTCTTACTTGGAGGTTTCAACCTTCACTGACAACATCTTTCTCCTTCATTTTTCTGTGGCTTGCTCCTGTTACCGTTTCTCTCAATTCTGCTACCTCTTATCTCTTGCATGACAATAACGTGAAACAAAATACATTTATTGCTATTCGTTACATATTTCCAAAAGTTATCTGTTAAGAATGTATTTTCCACATATTCTTCAATTTTTATTATTGCTAGACATTTTATTAAATTAATATTCATTCAATCCCATAAGCTTGCCTTTTAAAATGGTAACTTAATGTGTGACATGAACTAACTATAACTTCCAAACAGCTTTTAATTTTACCCAATAGTTTGAAAAAGGTCCTTTATCCTTGCTATATACTTTCCTTATACCAAGGATATACTTTTTTTCTATCATTTCCCTTTAAATCATATAAATGAAAACTGTAATATAGATAATTATGCAATGTTAATTGACAATGGTGTAGAATTATTTCACATTATCTTAACTCAAAGTTTCTGAATAATCCATTTTTTTACCTGTAAGATATATATGCCTATTGATACATGGATACATGTAGAAGGAAGGTAAGCATAAAAAACTGTAGAATACAGTCCCATTTTTCTTACAAAAATAATTAAAGTTGGACACAAGGCCAAACTAGAATTCACCATCAAAAAGCAGAACGTGTTAGGAGGTATCAACTGTGATACAAGAGACACACTACCACAGTGCATTCATGTGCATGAGGGATTTACATATTAAGCTGAGGCAGACAAATAGCTTTGCCTGCTGTCTGGAAGTGGAAAGTGACAAATGGTAGGGTGAGGTGAAAATGGAAGTAGCAGACACATGCATCATTATCGTGTCCCAGTAAAAGCACACGGGCCGGGTTTGTCAGATGAACAGTCACTTGAACAAAGGTCACCACTTTATAAAGTGTCAAAAGACTTTCAAACAAATTGATTAACATATTTGTCATGAGAAATAAAATTATCTATTTTTTTTGGGGGGGGTAGTTTAAAATTTTTAAGAAGAAAGTCATAATTGTGAAAAATGCTAGACAGGTGTCACCAGAATGATTGCCAGCATCAACCAATTTTAAAGCACCAATCATACCAATAGAGTCCAGCTTAAACTAATTTACAATGGGGAGCTGGTGCTGAAAATCACATAGAGCAGTTATAATCACCACATCCTAATTTCTCTTGCATGTATTCCACTCACCTATCCACATCTCAAATATTCTGTGAGCACTGACTAGATGACAGAAACTTGCCAGACATTGGGGAGAGAGAAGAGTATGAATTAGATAGAGTCCCTGTCTTCATATTGCTTACAGTCCACAGTTTACTACATAAATACATTATTTCTTTTTACACATGGTCCATAAAGCTGGACCATGGCTTCCCCTGGCTCGGGCAGGAAAAATGCTTTCACAATGGATCTGCAAAAGGGCTAACTACCTATATGAGTGGAGTAACAGAGAGCAAGAGAAAGGCCGGGAATACGTGGGGTTTTATGGAAAACAATAACAGAATTTACTATGAGGGTCAACACTCTGTAACTGTATCACAATATTATTCTTGCAGATTCTTAAACTCAATGTAGATGTTCAAAACCACGTTCATTAGTTCCATCAAGTATAAATTGAGTGGAAGAGTTAAGAACGTGAGAGATAGAGAACAGAATAACACACAGTCTTTGTCCTTAAGGAGTTTAAAGTTTAGATAGAGATGCCATCAATTCATGTAAAAACACAAGTTAACACAAGCAGTATATGAGCATCAAGGGAGGGTGGAGGTGGGAAGAGCCTCAGGGTATGAGGATGTCTATCTGTTCTCGGAAGTTGGCACTTCATCAATCACTCGCTCTGATTTAGCTAAAAGACAATAGTAGAAAGGCTTAATCATTTGTTGTGATGAGATTATTAGGAGAAGGCTGGGTAAGGGACAAATGGGGGAAGACTCTGTATACTCCTCTGAAGCGAACAGCTGAGTGAACTTATTAGCATGCCGTTCAATCATGTAGGCAAAATCCCTCATTACAGGACTGAAAAGGCCTAAGAGACAGGCCCCAGATATCCAAGGCCAGACTGTTCATACTGATGGTGGGAGGAGAAGCTCACTTATCCTCCGAAAACATCAGAAAAGCTATTGCTCCTAAGATTTCAATGGAAGACTCTCTCAGATAACAACATTTTTGTTAAAAATACTGATTTTCAAAATTCTCCCATTAAATGAAAATTCACCTCATGGCTTCCAATTTATTTCTGCAAATTTCCAACCAATTAGATGAGGTAAGGGAATCCTACTTTGCAGTAGACACATAGTTCCTGACTTACATGTGGTGCTTGGTAAATGCTGGATCCCTTCCCTCAGGCCCTATCCACTACCATGTTTCCGTAGCAAGAATAATACATTAGAAATCCTGCTACTGATTTTACTGTTATTTAGCATTGGCATCAAATACCCTTTGTCACAGTATTTTGTCTACTTAATATTTGACAAGGGCATTTTTATGTGACAAAAGACAATATTCTGTCAATCTTTTAAAAATGGAGCCTCAACATTACTTTTCCAGATCATTTACAAAAAACTGGAAGCATTCCCTTTGAAAACTGGCACAAGACAGGGATGCCCTCTCTCACCATTCCTATTCAACATAGTGTTGGAAGTTCTGGCCAGGGCAATCAGGCAGGAGAAAGAAATAAAGGGTATTCAATTAGGAAAAGAGGAAGTCAAATTGTCCCTATTTGCAGATGACATGATTGTATATCTAGAAAACCCCATTGTCTCAGCCCAAAATCTCCTTAAGCTGATAAGCAACTTCAGCAAAGTCTCAGGATACAAAATCAATGTGCAAAAATTACAAGCATTCTTATACACCAATAACAGACAAACAGAGAGCCAAATCATGAGTGAACTCCCCTTCACAACTGCTTCAAAGAGAATAAAATACCTAGCAATCCAACTTACAAGGGATGTGAAGGACCTCTTCAAGGAGAACTACAAATCACTGCTCAGTGAAATAAAAGAGGATACAAACAAATGGAAGAACATTCCATGCTCATGGGTAGGAATAATCAATATCGTGAAAATGGCCATACTGCCCAAGGTAATTTACAGATTCAATGCGATCCCTATCAAGCTACCAATGCCTTTCTTCACAGAATTGGAAAAAACTACTTTAAAGTTCATATGGCACCAAAAAGGAACCCGCATTGCCAAGTCAATCCTAAGCAAAAAGAACAAAGCTGGAGGCATCACGCTACCTGACTTCAAACTATACTACAAGGCTACAGTAACCAAAACAGCATGGTACTGGTACCAAAACAGAGATATAGACCAATGGAACAGAACAGAGCCCTCAGAAATAATACCACACATCTACAACTATCTGATCTTTGACAAACCTGAGAAAAACAAGAAATGGGGAAAGGATTCCCTATTTAACAAATGGTGCTGGGAAAACTGGCTAGCCATATGTAGAAAGCTGAAACTGGATCCCTTCCTTACACCTTATACAAAAATCAATTCAAGATGGATTAAAGACTTACATGTTAGAACTGAAACCATAAAAACCCTAGAAGAAAACCTAGGCAATAGCATTCAGGACATAGGCATGGGCAAGGACTTCATGTCTAAAACACCAAAAGCAATGGCAACAAAAGACAAAATTGACAAATGGGATCTAATTAAACTAAAGAGCTTCTGCACAGCAAAAGAAACTACCATCAGAGTGAACAGGCAACCTACAGAATGGGAGAAAATTTTTGCAATCTACTCATCTGACAAAGGGCTCATATCCAGAATCTACAATGAACTCAAACAAATTTACAAGAAAAAAACAACCCCATCAAAAAGTGGGCAAAGGATATGAACAGACACTTCTCAAAAGAAGACATTTATGCAGCCAACAGACACATGAAAAAATGCTCACCATCACTGGCCATCAGAGAAATGCAAATCAAAACCACAATGAGATACCATCTCACACCAGTTACAATGGCAATCATTAAAAAGTCAGGAAACAACAGGTGCTGGATAGGATATGGAGAAATAGGAACACTTTTACACTGTTGGTGGGACTGTAAACTAGTTCATCCATTGTGGAAGACAGTGTGGCGATTCCTCAAGGATCTAGAACTGGAAATACCATTTGACCCAGCCATCCCATTACTGGGTATATACCCAAAGGAATATAAATCGTGCTGCTATAAAGACACATGCACACATATGTTTATTGCGGCAATACTCACAATAGCAAAGACTTGGAACCAACCCAAATGTCCAACAATGATAGTCTGGATTAAGAAAATGTGGCACATATACACCATGGAATACTATGCAGCCATAAAAAAGGATGAGTTCATGTCCTTTGTAGGGACATGGATGAAGCTGGAAACCATCATTCTCAGCAAACTATCACAAGGACAAAAAAACAAATACCTCATGTTCTCACTCATAGGTGAGAATTGAACAATGAGAACACTTGGAAACAGGAAGGGGAACATCACACACCGGGGCCTGTTGTGGGGTGGGGAGAGGCAGGAGGGATAGCATTAGGAGATATACCTAATGTAAATGACAAGTTAATGGGTGCAGCACACCAACATGACACATGTATACATATGTAACAAACCTGCACATTGTGCACATGTACACTAGAACTTAAAGTATAATAAAAAAAATTAAAAAAATAAAATAAAAATGGAGTCTCAACATTACTTTTCCAGATCATTTACAAAAAAATGCAAATTTGATGAACAAAAGCACTTTAATTTTAATAAAAGATAGACTTACCAACTGTTCTCCGTTTGCCTGTTTTTAACTGGGAGGAGGTGCTATCTAAAAGTCCACTAGTATTTCCAGTTATTATTACAGTCTAGATCTTTTCAATAGGGTGAAAGAGAAGTGGCAACCCTAGTGAGATTCAGTCAGGAGGGACCCAGAGAATGTCTGTATAATTAATAAAGATAGACGACTCTGGTGCAAATATATGAAGTATCATCTACCAAAATTGTGAAAAAGAGATTAAACTAGAAAATTATTGGATTTTTTAGAAAGAGATATAACAAATGTTTTACTGTATAATCATATATGCAATAGAGGGCTAAGTGAATATCTAGCATAATAAATTCTGAGACAGCTGTTTCTCTTCCCATCCACGAGCAGAAATTACATTATACAAGGGTGGAAGAAGAGAAGGAATTATCTGATAAGTGGTACTAATCTGTTACTTCCTTAGTTTGAGGACCTTTCCTTCATAAAAATTTAAAAATTATCGTTAGGATAATATAACTCAATGCATTATCTGATCTGAATTATTCTTGCTAGCTGTTTTTAACAGAAAAAAAATTAGACTATTTCACTGACAGAAAATTGAATTAAATTTATGGTTTGACTGAACAATATTTTAAGTTCTACATTAAACCTGCAAAACTTTCATAATAAAGCCACTCCAACAGAAATTATACACTTGAAAAAGTGGTTTGAATATGTGACCAGGAAATTATTTGCTTGTTGTGTTGTGGAAATGTCATAAATGAAAATTTGAAAGCAAGGAAACTGGCTACTTCATTTGGCTATAAGGGCGAAAATTATTATGGCAATAGTAGTTTTTTTACAAGTATAATTTTACTCTTTAATTTGAGTAATTACCAGAAGAGTCAGTTTAATCAGTGTGCACTAATTTTAAAAGCTGAAATTTCAGAATTTATTTAAAAATATAATTTTACTACTTTTAAAAAGGTGGACAGTGATCTGTCTACTAAGATCTGTCAATCTAAAAATTAACATCTGAAACCAAATACCAAAATGAGTTTTGAGAGACGCAGTTTAAATTCTCAATTTATTATTCCCTAGTTATGGAGTTTTTATAGTCTTTATAAATTTATTTGAATATTTAAATACAAGTGTTTACTTAACAATTGGCAAATGGACTAATATTTCAAAATCAAATAGTTCACTTAATTAACATCTATGTTGCTAGAGGCTATTAATAACACTGGACAGTATTGGCCAAATTGGGCAAATGATATTTTTAGTTTTGTTCATTTTTGTGTTTCAAAGACTGATTTTGCATTTTAGTAGCCCTTCAATGTATTAACAGTTCATAATAAAAATAATAATCATTTAGATAGAGAAGTATGAAACAGAAACCAACATAAAGCTGCTTATCAGAAATAACCCTAAAACCAACATTTGTATAGAGTTTTAAACTTTATGTAATGCTTGTACATATATTTCCTTATTTGTATCTTACATAAACTCTGTGAGGGCAGGCATCTTAATTGCCATTTTACAGATGTGGCAATTCAAAACAGTATGAGAAGGGAGGTTAAATGAGTTAGAATTTAATAATTTAACTTAATAAAATGAGTTTATAAACATTTAAATGTTTATAAAAGAACCTGGACATGATACAGCAATATTCACAAAGTTATTATCATTCCAAAAGCAAACATCTGAATATTTCTTTAAACACAGTAAGAAAGTTCTAATATCTGGAACACAGGAATGGAAAAGGTCTCAGAAGCAAGGAATGTTGTGAAACACAAACCACACATCTTTAGGTTTACTATCTATATTCCACAAATGTGGTGGGGCCCCTAATTAAACCATACTCAAAAAGTGTAAGCCATTTGATTAGAAGTAGCCAAAAGGGGCTGACGGAGGAGAGAAATGGCAAGTGCTAGCTGAGGGTGGAACCCCCAACCCCTGCAAAAAAAACAAAACAAAACAAAAAACAAAACAACTATGGAAAAGCAGAGAGGAAATTCAAGGAATAAAATAGTTGAGAATTACTATATAGACAAAACATTATTCACAAAAGTCTCACAAAGTCACAGATCATAAAGTGATTCCTGTGGAAATAGTGTGTTAAAGGTTTCAAAAAACAGTCAAAAGATGTTCTGAATGCTTTGAGAAAGTATGTAAACAAAATTTTAATGAAATTTCTAGGATAAATATATAAAATAAAAGTTTTTAAAAGAAGAGTAAAGTTTCATCTATGTGGAAATCACTTAGGTATAGCAGCTGTTTCTCAGAATGCTGGATAAATGAGGTGCTACTCTAATAGTAGGCAAAGTGCTATATAGCATGCTTGCAAGAATACAAATTATACTATTTGTTAAGCATGATGCATAACAGTTAAGAAAAGTTCTCCAGATTATAACAGAAGAGTAAATGAGAGAGTATTTTCTTTGGAAAAGAGTCCATATCTGATGAACCCAAAATAAGGGAATGAATGGTCTTTACAAAAATTATCCCAGCTGAAAATAAATAATCAAAAATAGATTCATTTTGTCTTGAAGAAATATGAAAGAACTAGTCAATAAAAAACCCATGGAGTTTTGTGGCAGTGAAAACCTTTCCCAGAGTATTGACAAAAATAGATACCAACACTTTCAAAGGGCCATTATAGTTCACCTTCAAGTTGCATTTTATTACATTTAATTCCATAGCTGTTTTATTGGCATACAGCTGAACCTCCAAACTTTTAAGTCTGGTCTCTCGTGGTTTTTGCCTTATTTACCTTTGTATCATCATTTTCTGTTACTCTTCTATGTATAACCTAGGCTCCAGGTGAAACAAACTATCTGGTTCCTGAAATTGATTTCAGTTTCCCACTTCTACTCTTACCCTTTTCCTTCTCTCTGAATCCTTATACAAAAACCCAGGCCAAATTCTGCCTACTTTATAAAGGCTTTCCTGATCCACTTCCACCCACTTCCCTCCCCAGCACAAGCAGATTCTTCCTGTAAGACTCATGACATTTTATTGTTATCATTCTTGCCATAATTACCCAAATATACTTCTCTTTCAGGCATCTAAAGTGGGTAGGTTGCTATACGTATTAGAAGAACACACAGGAGTCAAATGGGAAAGAATAACCCAGCTCCACTGTATACTGAATGTATGGTTGGTCAAGACACTAACTCCTTCAGAGCCTTAGATTCCTGCTCTGAAGAATGGGAATAATCATAACTCACTTTACAGGTTGGTGCTTACTTTATATGCTAAGCACAAAAAGGACCAATCAATCAATAAATGCACACATTCTGCCTCATGCCTCTGATGCTAAAACAGTGGGTATGATAAAGGTCATTCAAATTGTTTAAGCTTTCCAAATCCTCCCCTCCTCTTTGTACTCTGTTCTAGCTGAAGTTCAAGATGTGTGATCCTCTCAATTTATCCTCAATTCATTATGATAATTAGTTTAAATGACAAATAGAAGGTTCCAGCAGTATTGCAGGCAAAAATGCAGAGATTTGTATTCCTGTAAGAGCACATACATGAAGATGTTAAAAGGAAAGATATAATTGTTTTGTATCTCCTAACGGGCAGTCACACATTCAAAAATTAGAACCTGTGAACATCCACAACATTGCACATCATGTACATTACTGAATTTAAGAAAGCAACCCAGGTTGTATTCTTAGAATAGTCTTTTAAAATTTACTAATGAATTATTGCTCTAGTAAGGTTCATCAGAGAACACAAAATGTGCAATCAGCCTTTTTTTCCAGCAATGCAAATTAGCACTGGGCAATAATTTAAGAAACTAAAAACAAATCCCAGAACAGGTGCTTTGTCTTACCAGATGCAATAAGATAATCAGGAGGAAGGAAAGGGGTCAGAGGAAATTTTCATGAACAGGTAAACAAACAATCCTTTCAAAATTGTATTATTACTCACTCTTGCTTTTAAAATATACTTCTTTTAAAAACAACAAGAAAAAGGAAACATTTCTCACTCAACTGATAATGGCAGGACAGATACTGGCAAATACCACCTAAGCATTCACATCCACATCCACACACTATGCTGAAAGAATCTGTCTTGCACCCTAATGGACAACGTCTAAAATTTGAGGTTTAAAATTTAAACGTTACACATCTAAAAAGAGTTTTAAAAATGATTGTGTGTTGGGGGAGCCTTGAAAAACAGACCATATTTATCAACAGCCTTGTATCACTAGCAACTATCACAAAACCTGGTTAAATTGAAGGCACTTATTAAGTATTTGTTCACTGAACTAACATTCCAGTTAAGGCTGCAATATTAACACAAAAAGCACCAGCACAATTACCTGCCCTTTAACGTAACTGCAAAACCATTTAGAAAGTAAGATGAAACAAGTAGGAATCACTTACGACTAGAGATCAATTGTGTAATAATTTTGAAAGTAGCCGAATCTTCTACACTTTGCAGTAGAAATGAGGCAACATTTCCTAACAGCAACTACAAACAAGGCAAATTATAACGTGGAACATCCAGTTATAGTCTCCACACTTAGACTGCACTGGGCTACCTTAACAGATTTCATTTTAGTGCCACATTGGCAAATATTGTGAACCTAATTAAGTAATTAGTAAGGGATTTCCTGTATGAAACTAATACTTCCTTTTCTTAAAAGTGGCCACCTATTGGGTTTGTAAATTAGGAGTTTTTAAGAAAAAACAAACAATATTCTGGGGACAGGCTGCATGTTATCCAAAAACAGCAATCTAAAACAAACTCAAGTATTTAATTATAGGAAGCTTATGCATTTCCCTATGAGGTTTCAGATAATTATTTATTTTACTATATAAGCATGACTATGAAAAATGTAAGGCTATTTAATGGGAAAGTTTTACTGTTAATTACTGTTACGCTATGGAAATCTAATGAAATATTTAAAATCATGTAGGTTACTGTAATTGATTTCAAATTTTCCACAGGCCCTATATAGTTAAAATCCTGTCTTTAACAGTCAATTTTTGAAGTCTTGTATGATTAATTATATAATTATTATAATTATATTAATACTATTATAATTAACAATCATATTATAATCATTAATACTATTATAATAGTTATATTAACACTAATAAAATTAATAATTATACTAATATAATTATAAATACTAATATAATTAATAATTATGGTAATATAATTATTAATAATTTTTAGTAGCAACTATGCTAATAATTTAGATTCAAATTTCCATGAAACTTTCTTAAGAAATTTTTACGTGGTATTTTTTTAAATTTTTATGTTTAATGTTTATGTTTTTAGCTAATTAACTCAATAAAGGCATAGCACCTGGAAGAATTATTTTTTCACATACCGAGATGTCTAATAAAATGTCTTGAAACTCTGTATTTTGTCCCCTGCTGGTTCATTTTTTGATAAAACTTAACCAAGTGTTTGGGTGACAGGGGTTTTCATGAATCAAGATCTTTTTGCAAGTTGCAACGCTGAGGAAATAATGTTAGAATTATTCCTTTCAAGTTTAGCCACAGTAATATTGCTTTGCTTATCCCTTACTTGGAGCTAAATCCATCACAATACATTTAAGTGTATAATGGTCTCACATTAATTCCAAATATAGTAAAAGAACCATGATACAACTTTTGAAGAAATTTAGTAACTGCTATCATTCTGGAAGTGATTAATGTCCCACCTTTCTGAATAGCCTTCCTACATGGAAATGCTTCCCACTAACCACCGCCTACACAGTATTTACAGGCATGTACACCTTGCAGTACATCCTGTTCCACTGGTATTCAATCATTTATTGGTTTTAAATATTCATGCAGCACTACCTACAGAACAGAAACAAGTCAAAGCATATTTCTTGACAATTTTATTACAAAATCAAAAAATGTTAGCACTAGAAAAGATACAAATCTTTGTCCAACTTTCTCATTCCAATAACATTAGGAAAGAAAAAAAAAGAAGCTGAGATGCAGATGTTGACTTATGGATATGGCCACAAAGCTATTTAGCAGCAGAACTAGATCAAGGCTCTTTCCCATGATATAACTACAGTAACCTAAGATTGTCAACTTTACCATGGGCATTCTCTGACAATAAAAGTAGAGTTTCTAGAAAAACTTAAAAAAGAAAAAAATCACCATTCACAATAAATTACCATGATAAATAAACAAATCACCATTCACTGTAAACCATTCATAATAAACCTTCACAATAAATCAATCCCTTATATCAATCAGTGGGGTATAGACAATGAGAAAAAACTTTTTGTTAATATATTGTTCTTGGCACCTCCACCAGCATTTCTACATGGACTTGGAACACAGGAACAGGAACAAGTCATACAAAGAAAGCGGTTATGTTTTTACTTAACATCTCATTTATGATTCACCTTCTCATTGCTAGACCTTCAACAGGTGCTTCATATTTGTTGACTGGGAGTTTCAGGACTGGTTGCTTTTAGCTATCAGAATACCTTGTCATTGTAACCTACCTCCTTGGCCATGTCTGTGTATTTCTGCTTTTCCTTTGGATCAAGAACAGCCCACCAATCAGCTAGTATCTTGGTAGCACCTCGGTTATCAAGCCTGGGGTGTTCCTGACGTACAAGAGAGCGATGGCGTTTGCAAAATAAAAGAAATGCATTCATTGGTCTCCGGGCTCGCTGCTCTGGTGATTCATCATCTTCAGTTTCACCAACATCTTGCTCTAGGCCATCGGCCCCAAGAAGTTGAACCTATTACCACCAAAAACAAAGCCAGATCTTTAACATATTTTGGATAATTTTGATTTAACAGTTAGTCTTGGTTTGCAAATTGTATTTTTTTCTTAGCTCCATTTAAACAACTTACACATTGAAAAAAATATAATTTTAAAAAATCAACAACCACTGTTCATGGTTGGTAACTAACTTATGATGTATCCTTCTGCTTAGTTTCTATAGCAACCTGTGCATGTCTCTATTACAGCATATATTACATTGTGTTATAATTGCTTACATTTTTTTCTCTCTCACTAAACAGTGAGCTCTTTGAGGACAAAAGCTCTTATTCACCTTTACAACCATAGTGCCTAGCTCAATGTCTGATATAATATTAGTACTTAATTAATTGTGGAATGAATGAATAAACCCATTCTATGGTTAATGGGCATCAAGATTAACAACATCCACATAAAATATATGAATAGTACCTTTGTCTTTCTCTGCTTTGAAAAGTGCCTTTTTCTACAACTAATAATATGAGACTATTTAACATGAAAGTAAGACATAAAAAGGTAATATAGACTACTCAATGTTTCTGCAAGCATCACAAGTAGAGTCTTGTGTAAAAAAATCAAAATCGATATTTAACATGATTATTTGAAAGAAGAACTACACAATAAATCTTCAAACTTGTAAATCTCAAGCTTTCTTGTTTAGTGAAATGCTCTGGTGATAGGAATAAACTCCTCTAGGCTTAAACCTTCAAAATCAATTTTGAATCCTCTTTTATCCTACACTTCATTCAATCATTGTTCAAGGTCTTCGAGGACTTCTACAAAGCTCCGAATCTGTCCATTCCATCTGGGTGATTCTCATTCCCACTGCCCTAGTACCACTTTGGCCTACGCCTAGTCTTCCCGTTTTTCATCTTCTTTACAATACTTCTTGCACATGGCTGCCAGGTTAACTTTCTTAAAGCCCATCTCTGATTACAGAATCTCAGAACATATTATGATTGTAAAATATTTTCTAAGGAAAAAATGATTCTATAATGTTTCTTAGAAACAATGTAACTATAAACAGAAGTCCACAATGTTTACTAAACCCATTTCCTTAATTTCTGGTTTCAAAATTAAAATCAAGAAGGACAAATTGCAGGTTAAGTATCCCTTATCTAAAATGCTTGGGACCAGAAGTGTTTCGAATTTTTGGATTAGGGATACTCAACTTGTAACCATTAGTCTGCATTATGCAGCAGAGTGGTTAATTCTTAAACTTGAGTATGCATTGGAATCCCTGGAGGTTCTGTTAAAACACAGGTTCTAAATCCCATTCCCAGAGTTTCCAATTCTGAGGTATGGAGTGGGTCCTGAGAATTTGTATCTCTAACAAGTTCCCAGGTGATGCTGATATTACTGGTTTGAGGATCACTCTCTGAGAACCACAACTTTAAGGCAACCATGTTCTTTTATTACAATGTTTATTGGGCAATTGTTACAAGCAGATACTTTAGGACTAATCACCTGCTTAATCCAACTGGTATTTTTAAAAAGTCTTGGCCAGGCGGGTGGCTCATGCCTGTAATCCCAGCACTTTGGGAGGCCAAGGTGGGAGGATCATGAGGTCAAGAGATTGAGACGATCCTGGTGAACATGGTGAAGCCCTGTCTCTACTAAAAATACAAAAATTAGCTGGGCATGGTGGCGCGTGCCTGTAGTCCCAGCTACTTGGGAGACTGAGGCAGGAGAATTGCTTGAACCCAGGAGGCGGAGGTTGCAGTAAGCCAAGATCACACCACTACACTCCAGCCTGGTGACAGAGCAAGACTCCGTCTCAAAAAAAAAAAGTCTTTTGCCGTTAAGTATTTCAAATGCAATCAATTAACCATTAATTATCTTCAAACACAAAGAGTACAGAAAAAATCTTGAGGTCATAGCCATCTAATTTGGAAATATGTTAGGAATTATTATTGGGGTGAAGCCTACATATTTATCTTCCTCATTATGTATATAATGGTAACAATAATTTGCATTTTTCAAGCGAGTTTTATTTAGCATTCTGAAACTAGGAAGCTAAAAAAAACTAAAAAGTGTACTATTAATATATAAGATGAAGAAGCAATTATATTTCCCCTTCAGAAAAGAGTAACTTTTCATTCAGTTATTAAATTATAAAATTCAACGTGTAACAGATGGACAAAGGACCTCATGTTTTGGGAGGGGGAAAAACCATATAAACATAAATTTAAAAGCAGTGTGCTGACTGCAACAAGAAACCAGCAAGATAACAAAGCACTAGTGGATGGGAAGAAGCGCAAGAAGGCCTCCCTGGAAAAGGTTGCCTGAGCTACATTGTGAGAAACAAATCAGGTTGGGTGTGGTGGCTCTAATCTCAGCACTTTGGGAGGCCAAGGTGGGGTGCGGATCACCTAAGGTCAGGAGTTCAAGACCAGTTTGACCAACATGGTGAAACCCAGTCTCTACTACAAACACAAAAGTTAGCCAGGAGTGGTGGTGGACACCTGTAATCCCAGCTCCTCTGGAGGCTGAGGCAGGAGAATCACCTGAACCTGGGAGGAGGAGGCTGCAGTGAGCCAAGATCACACTACTGCACTCCAGCCTGGGCAACAGAGCAAGACTCTGTCTCAAAAAAAAAAAAAAAAAAAAAAAAAAGAAAAAAATTATTAAAAAAATTAAAAAATTACAAATTAAAAAAAGGAGAAACAAATCAGAATGTGTCAGGTCGTCAATGGAGAGACATGGGGAACTAACAGGGATTAAGTCTTGCTGGTTTATCTGAACATTAACTTGCAGTTCGACAACACTGGTATGTAAAAGAGAACAGGGCTTCAGGAGACAAGGATGAAGAAGATGATCTGTGCCACTTCATGAAGAATGTGCTCTGCCATATTTAAACGCATGCATTTGATCCTGTAAACCAGCAGTTTGGAACTGTATGGACCAATAAAAACATTTGATTTGACACAGTTTGTCAACTTTTCATTCTGCCAACTATGAACATCGAAAAATGTTTTAATTGCTATTTAATGTAATTATTTTATTAATCAAAAAGTAAATACATAAATACATGAATAACAAAATACAAATAAAAACGCTCTTAGAGTTTAGAACTTATTTTTCTTTCCCCAGGAGCTCATTAATATTTTCTAAGAAAAATCAACACTAGTTCCCACAGCTGGATTGATGTAATGGAGAGCCATGAGTGACTTTAAGCAGTGGAGGGACATCATTAGATTGTATTTTAAGGAGATAACTTCTAACAACAGCATGAATTTTAAGAGTAAAACTAGAAGCAACCCAAACTAGAAAACCCAGTTAAAAATGTATTCCAGCTGTCCAGGCAAAAAAGGGATAGGGCTGAAATCTAGGCAGCAGTAATGGGAACAGAGAAGTGAGAACAGGGACAATATTTATGAGGCAGAAACAAGAGTGGCTGGTAACTAATTGGATCTGAAGGCAGAAAAAGGAAGAGTGATTCTGGCTTGGGTGGCAAAGTTTCTTCATATACAACAAAAAATAATTGTTCTCAAATGAGAGAAATCAGCCAGGTGGAGAGTAGAAAGATCAGTGCTGGGCAGGCTGAATTTGAAGTGGCTATGGGGAATGCTGTGTGGATACCTATGTCTGCAGGATAATAATATGAGATACCAATATGCAGAAGGTGCTAAGACTAAAAGTATGGACTAGACCACTGAGTGTGAGTGAAAAGAGAAGAGGACTCAATGACTTTAATCCCTCCCCCAATAAATATTTACTGGGTTCCTGCTATGAGCCAGCCACTCTTCTAGGTGCTGTGAGCACACAGTGAGCACAGAGAGCAGTGAGCACACAGAGTCCCTGCCCTCACAGAAACAGGAGCCGCACAACTGGCCTTACATTTTGAAGGGATTCCTCTGGCTGCTTTGTTGAGAATGGACTGCAGGAGGGCAAGAGCAGAGGCCGGGAGAGAGGGAGGTAGATACAATAATCTCTGCTAGAAATGGTGGTGGCTTGGATCAAGGTGGTACAGGAAGGAACTGTTAAAAGGGCAACAAAACTGTGAACATATCTTGAAGGTAGAGTCTGAGAGGATTTGCTAATGGATGGATGTGAAGTTTGAGCAAAATAAAGCAGCAAAGTATGAACTACAAGGTCTCAGGTCGGACAAATGGGAATGTTGCAGTTGCCCTTTACTGAGAAAGGGAAGATGCAGGAGAAGGTTGGGAGAAGAAAAGCAAAAGCTTAATTTTGAATTCATTCAAACTGAGATTTCTAGTTGATAACTAATGGATATACCAAGTAAATAGAAATATGAGTCCAGAGTTCAGAAGAAAAGTCCAGGATGGAGGTAGAAATTAAGATTGGAGGCCTAGAGAACACAATCATTTGAAGGGTAAATAATGCAGGGACATTAACTGAAAGAAACTAGGAAGGAACAGTGGGGAAGGTAGAAATAGAAAGAGGGGCCAGACATGGTGGCTTGTGCCTATAATCCCAGCACTTTGAAAGGTTGAGAAGGGAGGATTGCTTGAAGCCATGAGTTCCAGACCAGCCTGGGCAACATAGTCAGACTCTGTCTTTACAAAATATAAACAAAATTAGCTGGGCTTAGTGGTGTGTGCCTGTGGTCCCAACTATTCAGGGAGCTGAAGTGGGAAGACTGCTTGAGCCTGGGAGGTGGATGGAAGCTACAGTGAGCTGAAATGGTGCCACTGTACTATAGCCTGGGCAATACAGTGAGACCCTTTCTAAAAAAAAAAGAAAGGATAAATAGAAACAGGTGTGGGTGGCCAAAGGAAAGAAGGAAGAGAAACAGGAGTGGGTGCCCTCATGGAAACAGGAGACTGCTTCAATGACCAAGTGATCAACACATGCAAATGTGTTTAAAAAATGAAATTAAGTACAAGCTTGATAATACCCTCAAGTAAGAAGAATAAAACCTGTTTCTCTGAAACAGGAAAGGTGGAAGGAAAGATTAGTAAGGAGTGAGACAATTACATAGATGTGTACAGGAAGCTAAAAGAGTAACTTCTGGTGGCCTCTATTTTCTCTGTGAAAAAGGAGAAAAGGTCATTAGTAAGAGAGACCTTAGAGGGTATCCAGATGATGTCTGAAAAAGAGTAAAATTGTTTTTAATTCCTGATGAAAGCCAAGAGAGACTGAATGGATGTCAAAGGCCTGAAAAATATTAAAAACATGTTTATAAAATTCGTAGTGACACAAAATATGTACTCATTTATTCTTTCATTCAGCATACATCTATATTTAATACCTACTATGTGCCAGGCACCATTCTCATTTCTGAGGCAAGAGGAAAGGACGAGACAGGCAAGGCCCCTGTTCTTATACTGAGCTTCTATTCTGGTCTGAGAGAAGACAGACATAAATAAGTATACAGCTAAATACATGGCAAATAGCAATAAGTGCCATGAAGAAAATCTTTTGACTTTGAATGAGTTGGGTGGGACGAACACTTGAGACGATTTCTTAAGTCACCTGCATGGTTATGTGACTGAAGAGCCAGCTGCTGAGGCCTGATGCCAGAGAAAGGACTAGGAGGAATGAGTCATCACAAAGACTGGGGGCAAGTGCAGCCAGAAGCTGTGAAGGCCACGGATAGAGACAAAGAGAGCAGTTCTAAGACTGCCAATGGTAGCAGGGCGAGGCCAGAAGCCAAGACAGAGAGGCCAGAAGAGCCACAGGGTAGAACGTCAGATGAGCACATCAAGTTTTAGGAACATCCCCATCTCAATGTATTTGAACATTACCCACAAATCATTAGTTAGGTGACAAAAATCGTATTTAAAAGGATGTGTCTCAGTCTACACTATTAGGAAGTACAAATACTTTAAGAGCAATCAAGAATTGGAATAAAAATGTAAACTAAGTAATTGAATAGGATTCAAGCTATACAGGCTTTTGGAAACACTTTTGTAATATCATTCATGTTCACTATTGTTTCTAGATTATGATTTGCTCTAATAAACTTGAAACTTCTATGGTAAATATAGGACTTACCTTATCAATATCCTCCTCTTCGTCTTCCTCTTCTTCCTCTTCTGAAAAATCAAGAAGTTTCTTTGCTAGCAATGGATGCCACTGAAGACACTTTCGTTTTGGTCGTTTTCCAACCCCTTCTCCTTCTGCTGAATGATCCTTATTTCTATTACTGCCTTTCATTACTGTGACCTGTAATAGGAAGAGAGAGAGAGAAACAGGGAAACAGGGAGAGAAAGAGAGACACCGAGATAAATCAAAGTAAATTTGATTACAATTAGTTTATTTAGCTCCCTTTAGGATTAATTAGATTATAATTTTAATGACTATACTATCAGCTCATTTACTGGTAGATAAATACATAATACATAATGAATCCAAAATACATAATGAAACATTCATTTTAGTGGGCTAAATGGAGCTAATAAAATTTGCGTTTTGTGAAATCTACTTCCCTCCTCTCCATAGCTTCTGAACCTAAAACCCCAGTAAGCTTAAGGATGTTACCAGTTGTCTTCACCTGTGTGTATTTACTCAGGGAAGCGTTTCTCAATTTCCCATCAGAAGAACATGAAGGATGCCTCCCAAGAGAGTTGAAGAGTTCACAGGGGCTTGCCCCCCAGGCATTCTCTGATGGCTATTTTACTATAATGATTTACATGAATTTTGCATTCTATACCATGTTAAATCTGTGCTTACAATATTACTAAATAAAATGAGTAATTTGTAAGAATCCAACATTTTAGATTTGGGCAGTTGGCTAAGCTAAGAAATGGCCAAGCAATGGCCAAGCTATAAACGTGACAAAAATCTTTTAGAAGCCTAAAATTCTGAATTACTTTTCATTGATGTAAAAAAAAGTTCTTCTCCATGATAAAAGCAATACATATTTCTATTAAACAGGTGAAAATAGCATAAAACGAGGTTTGCCCTCTCCATCATGTCCTGCACCATGGTCCAGAGGTAACTGCATGTTAGTTTCCTGTATGTTTTCTCACAACTTTTTTTCTGATGTTACTTCTCATTCATTCATTCACTCATTCAAAGTAATGTTAAAATAGAAATTACTGTCATGGAAAAACTCAAACAATACAATTAAATGCCATTGGTTTAAATGGTTCATGAATGCTGACAATACAAACACAAGTACAGTTGCTAAAATTACCAGGTAGCAGCCTATTTGCTCAGTATGTTTGCATTAGTCCAAATGCTTGAGAAGTGGTACCATTAAACTTTTAACACGATGTTAAAACAGAAACTGGGATTAATGAACACATAATATAAAGATTCATCTAGTTCTCAAGCCGTTCAGAGAATATGGTATAGGTTATCTGTCTTCCTTATTTCTGGATTCTGGGTCATGCCTAGGTCTTCCTTACTTCAAAAAATTATTCACCAATGTTTTCTCCTAGAACTTGTACAACTTCAACTTAAACATTTAAATACTTGATTAATCTGGGATTCATTTTGATAAAATAAGTGAGGTAAGGATCTAGCTTCTTTTTTAAAAAAAAATAGCTAGCCAACTATACCAATACCATTTATTAAATAATCCAGCTTTTCATTATTCCTTCTATCCTATATTAAATTATCACATGTATATGAGCCTATTTCTGGATTCTCTTCTGTTAATAACCTCCCTCCAACTGCTTGCCTATCCTTTGACCAATTTCAATGTCCTTAGGGACTATATCATTCTACATCTTTTTAAATATACAAATATATCAATAAACAGCCATTAAAAAATTTAAGCTGCATATATCATACTCTTCTATGTAGGTAAATATATGTCGATTGTTCTAATTCTAAAATAATTGTGTTATATTCTAAAACATGAATGTATCACAATTTACTGAGTCTACTATTGATGAAAAGATTATTATGCTACAATAACTCATTTTAATAAAATCATTTTCTAAAAAAATCTTCATTTTTAATAAAAGTTCTGATTAATTTTTTTTTTTTTTTTTGAGACGGAGTCTTGCTATGTTGCCTAGGTTGGAGTGCAGTGGTGCGATCTCAGCTCACTGCAACCTCTGCCTCCCCGGTTCAAGCAATTCTTCTGCCTCAGCCTCCTGAGTAGCTGGGACTACGGGCGCCCGCCACCACAACCGGCTAATTTTTGCATTTTTAGTAGAGACGGGGTTTCACCATATTGGCCAGTCTGGTCTTGAACTCCTGACCTTGTGATCTGCCCACCTCAGCCTCCCAAAGTGCTGGGATTACAGGTGTGAGCCACCACGCCCGGCCTTCATTAATTTATTAAAAGCTATGTCCAGTCAAGAAAAAGAAAGGGGGAAAAGAAAAACATGTTCTTGTGGCATTCTTAGCAAGAAGCTCATGCTGGAATATCTGAAGCAATTACATGACTTGTGTGGCTGACTCAATAATACAAGAAGTTATTGAAAACTAAATGGAATTAGGTATCTGGTGTGCTCTTAATAAGAGAAGATTTCTTGTGAATTGATAGTCCATTTAACAATTCCCATTCTATCTACAAATAAAAGTTGGCACAGGTAACTCAATTTCCAGAAATGCCAATGCTGTATAGAAAGAAGAGGAAATGGTTGTTTCTGTGACATAGTAATCACTTCAGGATGAGTTGCTTGAGTGGTAGTTAAACCCATTTAAGGGTCTAATATTTTAAACAGTAAAAGAAATCAGTGGGAAACTGTAAGTAAGGCAACTTCTATCAGTTGGAGAGGGTAAAGTGATTGCCACTGCCAAGAGAAAAATAAATCTTTAGCCCCCAAAATTTTGAATTAAATTATTATTTAACTATGTGTGAATGTATATATATGTGTGGATATGTGTGCACCTTTGTGTATATACATGTAATTTCAATATTCAAAGAGAAAAACAGGGTCTCAAGAATCAAATTAATGAGGGTTATATGTGGCTTCTTTCTGGGTTCAAAATAATCGCATTCAGTCCTCCCTCATTTCTAATTCTTCCCACGTAGCTCACATACCACTTTGGAGAAAATGTCTTTTCTGATACTCCAGAAATTAATCTTTCTCACCCAGAAATACATTAGAAAGACTCTACATTGCTAATGGCACTTACCACATTTTCCCTTCAATTATAATTATTTAGATACATCATACCTCCATTGCTAGGCCTTTTTCTTAATGGTCCAAGACTATACTCAGAAACATCCTGGCACATCAGATCATTAAGATCAGTTAGTTGTGAGGATTGTCACAAACAATGACACAAACTCCTGTGCCAAATTGTGATGATGATTCACTATTTATATTCTCCAGGATAGCTTCAAGATTAACTACAATTTCTTACACTTTCCTGAATTCAGATATTCTTTTCTAAGTGGGAAACAAAGGGAATTGAAAACTGTGCACAGCTCAGACACACAGACCAAGGTGGCATGTGATGTCTGAGAACCACCAGATGCACAGGCTTGGGGAGAAATAAGGCTGGCAACCCCTAGTACAGGGCCTGGAACAAAGTAGGTACATTTTTAGCAGGTACAGAAGATGAATAAAACAGTAAGTGAATTGGAAATGGTATACCTCAGATGAAAAATCAAGAAAAATGTACTGTAATTGATCTAATAACTATGAAATACCTCAAAGTATAAACTGTGCACTTTAATAATTTATAGTTATCTAATTCTTTCTTAATTCCTTATGGATCTATGTTCAAATTATTGAAAGAAGGCAAAACAGTGAAGGGAAATGATGTTCCTGATTATGATTCAGAAGTAATGAGAAAGCAAGAGAGAATCATTTTAAAAAGATGAAAAAAAGTGGGAAAGACAAGGGCAAAGAAAGCATAATTTTGAGACAATGTTATCACTCATCTTACTTCAACAATGAGGAGGAGGTAAAATTGTTAATTTTTGAAGTGACAGAGGACTAATCTTGTCATTATTTTGCCACTAAAAAGCCCACACATTTTAAAGTTTGGTTTCTTGGTCTTAGAACAAGAGCAAATTAAGCTAATAACCTCTATGCAGTAAATGAAGCAAATGTTGGACTTTATTCAAAAGACGTTATTCTTCCATTCTGCATTGCAATTTTAGAATAATTGAAATCAGGTTATTTAACTATCAATGGACTCTGTACTTGAAAAACTAAACATCATCAAATTATGCTGCTGAGACTGTCAAATGATGATATAAAGCCCCCTACCAAAATTTACCTTGTGAAAAAAAAACCAACCCATGTGTACCCCCTTTGCCCCCTTTCTGTGTATGGCAGGACAGGTGACCCTAAATTGACATTCATTGTACTGAATTCAATGTAAATTGACAGATTAGGAAAAATTTCATTTAATTATATTCTTCAAATGTAGCAAGCCAAACCGGGCGTGGTGGCTCACGTCTGTAATCTCCCAGCATTTTGGGAGGCCAAGGCGGGTGGATCACGAGGTTAAGAGATTGTGCCATCCTGGCCAACATGGTGAAACCCTGTTTCTACTAACAATACAAAAATTAACTGGTTGTTGGTGGCATGCACTTGTAGTCCCAGCTACTCGCGAGGCTGGGGCAGGAGAATCGCTTGAACCCAGGAGACAGAGGTTGTAGTGAGCCGAGATTATGCCACTGCACTCCAGTCTGGCTACAGAGTGAGACTCTGTATCAAAAAAAAAAAAAAAAAAAGTAGCAAGCTCATTCATGAAGGACGTTTACTGAGGTCAGACTTCATGAGAAACTTAAAGAAGAAAGATTTTAGAAGGAAAGAGTACAAAGCAAATGCCATATTTATTAAAAGAAGAAGAAAAAAAAAGGACACTGGAGCCTGATAGGCTTCCTTTAGAATCCTGCCTCTACCACAAACTACCTGTTGGAAAGTTAATACTTGTGCTGATCTTTCCTCATGTTAAAACTAAATAATAATAGCTCTACTGTGAGAACACATGTAATACCCAGCACAGTGTCTAGAAGATTCTCGTTCACTGTTGGCAAATCCACCCTTTACTCAACAAGCTTTTTAGACTGGGAAGCATGGGATTAACAGGCAGCATCTGCTCACTTAAACTCATCCTAAGATGTCATTCAAAAGGGAGCATAGATGTCTCCCATTTGATAGTGATCCATATGCTGCCCAGATGATATAATCTGCAGCCTCAGAAACTGAAAAAGAAAGATGGAGAGTTTCCTTTCCTTTGTCTGAGTGATACACAGTCAGAAACAGTGCCTTGGCACCGTCATAAATTTTGTGAATAAGATCCTCTCATCTATTGTCTTGTCTTACAATTTAGGCAATCAGTTACACTTTAATCATTAAAACATTAGTATACACTGAACTGTGTCACGGTGGTATTTTAAACTGTTTCCTAAAAGTCCAATGAAATTCCACTCAAATCCTGGTCATTAAAATTCACGCCCAGTGAAACAGGAGAGTATGGGAGGCCCATTAAATACCACTGCTAGACAACCACATATTCTAACCACAAATAGGGCCTCTTCTGGGTCCAATTAAGACTACAAAACCGCACGGCCTTCTCCAGAGTCTACGGAGGAGAGGAAAAACCAGCCCAAAGACACTGTAACATAGTGGAAACTCTAGTACTTCCACACAAATTGGACCCACCTGCTTTCATTCTTTCTAAAGAGTTCTGGGACTTTCAAATCACACCTTGCTTTCAGTCTTTCAAGGGGTCCTGCTGCCACAGAAAACAGCAAATACTCCAAATTTGAAGCCTTTCTCCTTCTCACCTTAAAAGTCTCCCATTTTCTCTGAAAGTCCTTCTCATCCTCCAAGACCCGGGTCAAATATCTCTTCTTTTATCTGAAAGCCCTAAGTCAAAGTCCATCACTCTGCTATGAGCTTTGATTGTACTTGATTCTGTTAGGTCAAGCACTTATCATAGTGTTTTGACAACTCCCCTGCACCCTGCTTTGATTGAAATGTGTCCTCCAAAGGTAATCCCCAGAGTAACAGTGTTGGGAAGTAGGGCCTAACAAGAGGCAATGCAGTCATGGGGGATCTGCCCTCGTGACTGGATTAATGTTGTGATTGTAGGAGTGAATTAGTCATCACCAGAGTGGGTTTGTTATTAAAGCAAGTTTAGCCTCTTCTTACTCTCATCCTCTCTTGCTCTTCTGCCATGGAATAATGATGCACAAAAGCCTTCCCCAAATATTGGCCCCATGCTCTTGTAATTCCCAGCCTCCAGAACTGTGAGCCAAATAAACTTTTGTTCATTATAAATTACTCAGTTTGTGGTATTGTTATAGCAACATAAAATGGATTAAGACATCTCCACGTCCACAAAAGGTTGTGACCTTCAGAGTGCAGGTGCCATCACTACCTTTTTGGTCTCAGTGCCTAGCACGGAGCCTACTGCACAGTAGTTTCTGGAAAGGGTATTTATTGGCTTATAATTTCCTCATCTAACACTTAACCACATATGACTTCTCAGAATGACATGCTCCTAAATTTTTTTTAAAATTCTGATATGCAACTAACATTTATTAAATATTTAACTGCTACATATTTACCTTCTCATTTAATCCTCACAAAAACACTCTGATGCAGTTACTGTGATGAATTCCACTTAAAGCAACAGGGTTAAGTAACATGCACAGGATAACATGGCAAGTAGAGGAACCAGAACTGGACCCAGGAAACCCAGCTCAAAGAACCCAAATGCTTACCTGGGAAAAAGAGCTATAATACAAAGCTCTTCAATCTGCCAACTCTCTATTTCCTATAGAACAAACAGCTCATAGACCATGAAAATACCAAAAGGAAGCATTAAGGGGCTGGTAAGGGAACACCACTTTTCATGGTAGAAAAGCAAATACACATCTCTGATGATGCCAAGTGACAATTAAATTAGATTAACTCTAAAACTCTTTGAAGATAAAAGCCCTACAAGTGCTAATCATTATTATTTCTTGTAATTCTAATGACAATTCTAAACTGTAGACAAAGTACATGAAAAATATCTCATTCAATAAAGTAATACTCTCATTTTAGAAGCAATTCACTCACTAGTCATGCAAAAAGTGTCTTTAAATATGCTCCTTATTGAAAAGCAGTAGCTCTTCAAGTTGAAACTTTAACTCTGTCAAGATGTTATCGATATGCTCTTCATGAATACTAATAAGGCACCCACTATTCAAAGAAGGGCTTAGCTGTACTGGCAGTTCTGGTCCCTCTGCCTTTAACTCATAAAGAAATATGTAGTTTTAAGATCTCTAATACCTGCACTCCACGACACTTAGCCTTGGGACAGCTTAACATGGTTCTCAAATGGAATGCTGTTCTAGGCTACAAACAGAGACGAAAGCTACCTTGAAAGAGACAAGGCATCCAAAGAGGTGGCTTGAGGAGGAAAAGCTATATACATAGAGAAGTCAGTAGCAAGCTAGGACTATGTTCCCCACCACACCTTCCAAAAATGCAACCTTCTGTTTTCCTATAATTTTACAGAGGTGTTTACATTCTTAATCAAAAAGTCACCAAATTTCTATTCTTCAGTGGACCTAACAAAACAGTATTTGCCTCTTTCAGTTTACAAATTCACAAAGGTTTTTATTATATGCACTTATTACATGGCTAGGACATAATGATCACATTGACAAGAAGCTGAAACACAAGAAGATTAGCTCATGGGTGTCTCCTCCTCCTTTACTCTCAATGCAGCTGAACACATACGTATTGATCACCTGCTGAGCTATGCTCTGGAAGGGTTAAGTGTCCAGTCTTACCTCCCATTCAACTCACCTCCTGCTGGGCTGGTGCCTGACCTGCTCTCCACACCCGCCACATGCTTCTGCGCAGTCCTTTCTCTGCTCTCCCAGGCCTGCACACCGTCCCCCACACCCCCATTCTCCCTCTCTATGAAAGGCCTCTCTGAACATCCATTTCTAAAAGGCTGTGTTTGCCTCAGCTCATGTCTCTCTCCTTTCTGAGCACCTTTTTTGATCACTGCAACACTTAATGGCTGTGCCATAATTTTTGACACTTGATTGTATGACAATTATCATTTTCCTGTACAATGTATGTATAATGATTTCATGTGAATTCCTCCCACAGAGACCCTTGAGGGTAATGAACATGCCAGATGCTTTTTTTGGATCTGTCAGAGCAAAGATTTCTGTGCTAGACAGGGAATAGATGTTCAGTGAATATGTGGAGAATTGAACATAGAAACAATACTTCTCTGTTTTCTTATTATGCGTTTCTTTATGTTGTTTTGCTACAAGGCAGAATGGACAAAAGGCTTGAAATATGCAGAGAAGAAGAAATAAGAAGCCAGGAAAGGTTGTTTGGATGGGAAAGGAGAGAGAAAAGAAACAAGCAAATTGACAAGGCAATGTAATAAATACAATAAAATCAAAGTCACTTTCAAACAGCTGTCTAAAACATGTTCCTTTATTCCTTTCTCTGGTTATTTGTCAATGACTTTCATTATTCTCTCAAAACAGCGTACTATTATACCTTCAGCTCACTGGCTCTCTTATAGTTTCACAAATGGTCCAGTAATAAACCCTAACTCTAAACTTCTCCAACCATTTTTCTTCTCAGGTCTATCCCCAGGTTTCTGGCTGCTCCTGTGTTCTGACCCTACTACAAAAGTTTTCAATCTCAGGTTGGTCCTAAGTGCTTTATCACTTGTTCTTTACTTTTATCCTTTTTACTTGTCTTACTCAGTTACATAGTCAATCCCACCGTGCCCATTATAAATTCTGTTTCTCAACTCCTACTGATGATGGTGAGCAGGGATAAATGTGACAATGCTAGCTAGACATATATAATGCTTCCTATGTACCAGAGCTAAGAGATTATATCTATTAACTCTCTTAACTTACAATAAGCCTAAAAGGTAGGTACTATTATCCCCTTTTTTTTTTTACAGATGAGAAACCTGAGGCAGAGATAACATATTTTGCTTCCTTTAGTGTATAAATTAACAAAGGTTTTTACTGTATCCATTCGTCAAATGGGTAGAACATAAGCATGACATTGGCAAGAACTCAAAGCACAGGAAGACAAGTTCATGGAGTCTCCATATTTATTGTCAATGCAGTTGAATACATATTTACTGAGCACTTGGTGAGCTATGAATTATGTTTATAAATCACACTACTAGCATGAAATTGGTGAAGCTAATATTTGAACTCAGCGGTCTGGCTTCACAGTCTGGTTCTTGACCATTATACAATATTGCTTCATCATCACAAATTTTATTGAACATTTGCTACATGCTAAACACTTTACATGAATTAATTTCTTTAATCCTTAATACAACTCTAGGCGAAAGATCCTACAATGAATATACCTTAAGTATAAAGCAACTGAGAATGACAAACCTTAAGCAGCATGCCCAAGGCCACTCTGCCAGCACATGATGGGACCAGGAATGAAAACAAGGTCTTCCGTTCCCTAGAGCCTGAGCTTTCAATCATGTCCCCATACTGCCCTTCCCCTGCAATCCTTGTCACTCTAAGAAAACACATGAAAAAATGCTCATCATCACTGGCCATCAGAGAAATGCAAATCAAAACCACAACGAGATACCATCTCACACCAGTTAGAATGGTGATCATTAAAAAGTCAGGAAACAACAGATGCTGGAGAGGATGTGGAGAAATAGGAACACTTTTACACTGTTGGTGGGACTGTAAACTAGTACAACCATTGTGGAAGTCAGTGTGGCGATCCCTCAGGGATCTAGAACTAGAAATACCATTTGACCCAGCCATCCCATTACTGGGTATATACCCAAAGGATTATAAATCATGCTGCTATAAAGACACATGCACACGTATGTTTATTGCGGCACTATTCACAATAGCAAAGACTTGGAACCAACCCAAATGTCCAACAATGATCGACTGGATTAAGAAAATGTGGCACATATACACCATAGAATACTACTATGCAGCCATAAAAAATGATGAGTTCATGTCCTTTGTAGGGACGTGGATGAAGCTGGAAACCATCATTCTCAGCAAACTATCGCAAGGACAAAAACCAAACACCGCATGTTCTCACTCATAGGTGGGAATTGAACAATGAGAACACATGGACACAGGAAGGGGAACATCACACACCGGGGACTGTTGTGGGGTGGGGGGAGGGGGAAGGGATAGCATTAGGAGATATACCTAATGCTAAATGACGAGTTAATGGGTGCAGCACACCAACATGGCACATGTATACATACGTAACAAACCTGGACGTTGTGCACATGTACCCTAAAACTTAAAGTATAATAATAATAATAATAATAATAATAATAATAATAATAATGATGATGAAAGAAAATACCTTTGCCTCCTGCTTAACTAGCAAGAAGGTGTTAATTTTCCTGAACCCTCCCAAATTCTCATCTTCCCTGCCACTTTCAAAGTTTATTTTCTTCTTCTGTTTTCTTTCAAAGGTAGAGATTCAAGGTCAACTCCTTCCCTCACCACACTCCCAATCTATATGTTTCCCTCCAGTTATCCTGAGCCATTAGTCTTTTAGTTACTTTGATGAACTGTCAATAGTTTATTCTACTCCTTCAGTCTATACACAATCTCAAGTCTAAAGACCTGCCTGAATTCTCACTCTCCTTTAGCTAGTCCTCTTTCTTTGTACAAACTGGCCTCTAGCCCTTAGGCTATGGTACTGCCTAATGCAGCTAGGATCCAAGAACCAGGCTGCTTGATAGTGTCATTTGTTCACAGCCTCCACACCCAACGATGTGCTTCACTAAGTGACCTGGTTCCTAATATTCTTGCTTCTAAACCTCAGGATTAGTTTCCTAGAAAGAACTTACAAATTGTTCCAACATGTCTATCACCTCTGGCTTCTCTACCTCACTATGACTCACATGTCTTTAATTTCTATCCTCTCGAGAAAATATCTTGTCTGGGCCAGGCCTCTGCCTCCACCATACCCTTGTGGAGTTATGTCAGAGCCTGGTGAATAGAAACTAGACATCCCTTCCCTTCACATAAGCATCTGGAAAGCCTATCTTTCTTTGCAAGTTTCTCTTCATAAACTGAAATCACTGCAATCAGCTGTTCACCCTGACATCTAATCTCTCAAAAATCTGTCCCTTCTACCTCTTACAAAGAGTCTACTCCTCTCCAGCCCCACAAGGTTGGTTCAGCTGTCTGATCTTCTTACCTATAGCTTTGCTGACTTTAATTTTCAACAAATATCTGCTCATGTCCTTCTCCTAAAGGGAGTCTCTTTAATAGTCCCTCAATGTATTAATGAAAAATTCCAAATTCCTTCCTTCACATAAACATGTAAGACTCTTCCTGACCTAGTCCAGCTTGCCTTTACAGCTGATGTTTCTTTGCTCATTCTCACTTTCAAAGTTCTACCCATATTGAGCCACATGCCATCACCCGGAGCTTGCCATGCACTCCCACCTCCTGGAACCTGGCTGCTGTTTCCTTCCGGTGGAACTCTTATCCCTGCTTCGGGGCTTAGCTTGGATCTCACCTCACGCCACTTCTGGTCCTTTCAAGTCTGAGAGAGGTGTCTCCACAGCACCCTACACTTAATAGGCTACACTGAAATGACCTGTTTCCTTCTTTATATCACACTCAACTGTGACAGAGAACAGGGGCTGCATCGTGTTCACCATGGTGTGTCTCCAGGGCTTGACACAGAGCCGGGCGCACTGCAGGCAAATGAATGAATGAATGAGTTCTAGGACTGTTCCCTGAAGTCCATTCCTCCTGCCCATAGTCCTTTTCCTTGTTCACCATCCTTCTTTTCTAATCCGTCCTTGCCATGCCCTGCTCTGTGACCCTCTGTTTCAGACATTCCTAACAATTACTCAAATAGCATATTCAAACTGCCAAACTAAAACACCTGGTGATTTTATTTACTTAGAAATAGTTTCTAAGTATTGCAGATCTGAAGAGAGAAAAAATGACTCTCTATTTGTAATTTTGACCTCAGAAGAGAAATAATTATCCATTCCCTTTTCTCCTGTATCAATCACCGAACACTGATTTTTAATCTTCCATGCTCCAGGTTACACAGAGCCCTTGGAATTTTTTTTTTTTTTTGAGATGGAGTCTCGCTCTGTCACCCAGGCTGGAGTGCAGTGGCACAATCTCGGCTCACTGCAACCTCCACCTGCCAGGTTCAAGCAATTCTTCTGCCTCAGCCTCCTAAGTTTCTGGGACTACAGGAGTATGCCATCACACCTGACTAATTTTTGTTATTTTTAGTAGAGATGGGGTTTCACCATATTGGCCAGGCTGATGTCAAACTCCTGACCTTGTGAGCCGCCCGCTTCAGCCTCCCAAAGTGCTGGGATTACAGGTGTGAACCACCGCATCTGGCCTAGCTCTTTGAATTTTAAGAGCAATCATACATTTTTTTTAAAAAAAACATATATATATATTAAATTTCATCTAAAATGGTAAAAGTTTAAAAGGTAATTTTTCTTTCATATGACTTAGTCGTTGTTTTAGTTTAAAATAATTAAAAGGCGGGAGGAGCCAAGATGGCCGAATAGGAACAGCTCTGGTCTACAGCTCCCAGTGTGAGCGACCCAGAAGACGGGTGATTTCTGCATTTCCATCTGAGGTACCGGGTTCATCTCACTAGGGAGTGCCATTCAGTGGGCGCAGGTCAGTGGGTGCGCGCACCGTGCACGAGCCAAAGCAGGGCGAGGCATTGCCTCACTCGGGAAGCGCAAGGGGTCAGGGAGTTCCCTTCCTAATCAAAGAAAGTGGTGACAGACGGCCCCTGGAAAATCGGGTCACTCCCACCCGAATACTGCGCTTTTCTGACGAGCTTAAAAAATGGCGCAGCAGCAGATTATAACCCACACCTGGCTCGGAGGGTCGTACGCCCACGGAGTCTCCCTGATTGCTAGCACAGCAGTCTGAGATCAAACTGCAAGGTGGCAGCGAGGCTGGGGGAGGGGCGCCCGCCATTGCCCAGGCTTGCTTAGGTAAACAAAGCAGCCAGGAAGCTCGAACTGGGTGGAGCCCACCACAGCTCAAGGAGGCCTGCCTGCCTCTGTAGGCTCCACCTCTGGGGGCAGGGCACAGACAAACAAAAAGACAGCAGTAACCTCCTCAGACTTAAATGTCCCTGTCTGACAGCTTTGAAGAGAGCAGCGGTTCTCCCAGCACGCGGCTGGAGATCTGAGAACGGGCAGACTGCCTCCTCAAGTGGGTCCCTGACCCCTGACCCCCGAGCAGCCTAACTGGGAGGCACCCCCAGCAGGGGCAGACTGACACCTCACAAGGCCAGGTACTCCAACAGACCTGCAGCTGAGGGTCCTGTCTGTTAGAAGGAAAACTAACCAACAGAAAGGACATCCACACCAAAAACCCATCTGTACATCACCATCATCAAAGACCAAAAGTAGATAAAACCACAAAGATGGGGAAAAAACAGAGCAGAAAAACTGGAAACTCTAAACAGCAGAGCGCCTCTCCTCCTCGAAAGGAACACAGTTCCTCACCAGCAACAGAACAAAGCTGGACGGAGAATGACTTTGACGAGCTGAGAGAAGAAGGCTTCAGACGATCAAATTACTCCGAGCTACGGGAGGACATTCACACCAAAGGCAAAGAAGTTGAAAACTTTGAAAAAAATTTAGAAGAATGTATAACTAGAATAACCAATACAGAGAAGTGCTTAAAGGAGCTGATGGAGCTGAAAACCAAGGCTCGAGAACTACGTGAAGAATGCAGAAGTCTCAGGAGCTGATGCGATCAAATGGAAGAAAGGGTATCAGTGATGGAAGATGAAATGAATGAAATGAAGCAAGAAGGGAAGTTTAGAGAAAAAAGAATAAAAAGAAACGACCAAAGCCTCCAAGAAATATGGGACTATGTGAAAAGACCAAATCTATGTCTGATTGGTGTACCTGAAAGTGACGGGGAGAATGGAACCAAGTTGGAAAACACTCTGCAGGATATTATCCAGGAGAACTTCCCCAATCTAGCAAGGCAGGCCAACATTCAGATTCAGGAAATACAGAGAACGCCACAAAGATACTCCTCGAGAAGAGCAACACCAAGATACACAACTGTCAGATTCACCAAAGGTGAAATGAAGGAAAAAATGTTAAGGGCAGCCAGAGAGAAAGTTCGGATTACCCTCAAAGGGAAGCCTATCAGACTAACAGCGGATCTCTTGGCAGAAACTCTAGAAGCCAGAAGAGAGTGGGGGCCAGTATTCAACATTCTTAAAGAAAAGAATTTTCAACCCAGAATTTCATATCCAGCCAAACTAAGCTTCATAAGTGAAGGAGAAATAAAATACTTTACAGACAAGCAAATGCTGAGAGATTTTGTCACCACCAGGCCTGCCCTAAAAGACCTCCTGAAGGAAGCACTAAACATGGAAAGGAACAACCGGTACCAGCCACTGCAAAATCATGCCAAAATGTAAAGACCATTGAGACTAGGAAGAAACTGCGATCAACTAACGAGCAAAATAACCAGCTAACATCACAATGACAGGATCAAATTCACACATAACAATATTAACTTTAAATGTAAATGGACTAAATGCTCCAATTAAAAGACACAGACTGGCAAATTGGATAAAGAGTCAAGACCCATCAGTGTGCTATATTCAGGAAACCCATCTCACGGGCAGAGACACACATAGGCTCAAAATAAAAGGATGGAGGAAGATCTACCAAGCCAATGGAAGACAAAAAAAGGCAGGGGTTGCAATCCTAGTCTCTGATAAAACAGACTTTAAACCAACAAAGATAAAAAGAGACAAAGAAGGCCATTACTTAATGGTAAACGGATCAATTCAACAAGAAGAGCTAACTATCCTAAATATATATGCACCCAACACAGGAGCACCCAGTTTCATAAAGCAAGTCCTGAGTGACCTACAAAGAGACTTAGACTCCCACACATTAATAATGGGAGACTTTAACACCCCACTGTCAACATTAGACAGATCAACAAGACAGAAAGTCAACAAGGATACCCAGGAATTGAACTCAGCTCTGCACCAAGCGGACCTAATAGACATCTACAGAACTCTCCACCCCAAATCAACAGAATACACATTTTTTTCAGCACCACACCACACCTATTCCAAAATTGATCACATAGTTGGAAGTAAAGCTCTCCTCAGCAAATGTAAAAGAACAGAAATTATAACAAACTCTCTCTCAGACCACAGTGCAATCAAACTAGAATTCAGGATTAAGAATCTCACTCAAAACCGCTCAACTACATGGAAACTGAACAACCTGCTCCTGAATGACTACTGGGTACATAACGAAATGAAGGCAGAAATAAAGATGTTCTTTGAAACCAATGAGAACAAAGACACAACATACCAGAATCTCTGGGACTCATTCAAAGCAGTGTGTAGAGGGAAATTTATAGCACTAAATGCCCACAAGAGAAAGCAGGAAAGATCCAAAATTGACACCCTAACATCACAATTAAAAGAACTAGAAAAGCAAGAGCAAACACATTCAAAAGCTAGCAGAAGGCAAGAAATAACTAAAATCAGAGCAGAACTGAAGGAAATAGAGACACAAAAAACCCTTCAAAAAATTAATGAATCCAGGAGCTGGTTTTTTGAAAGGATCAACAAAATTGATAGACCGCTAGCAAGACTAATAAAGAAAAAAAGAGAGAAGAATCAAATAGACACAATAAAAAATGATAAAGGGGATATCACCACCGATCCCACAGAAATACAAACTACCATCAGAGAATACTACAAACACCTCTACACAAATAAACTAGAAAATATAGAAGAAATGAATAAATTCCTCGACACATACACCCTCCCAAGACTAAACCAGGAAGAAGTTGAATCTCTGAATAGACCAATAACAGGAGCTGAAATTGTGGCAATAATCAATAGCTTACCAACCAAAAAGAGTCCAGGACCAGATGGATTCACAGCTGAATTATATCAGAGGTACAAGGAGGAATTGGTACCATTCCTTCTGAAACTATTCCAATCAATAGAAAAAGAGGGAATCCTCCCTAACTCATTTTATGAGGCCAGCATCATCCTGATACCAAAGCCAGGCAGAGACACAACCAAAAAAGAGAATTTTAGACCAATATCCTTGATGAACATTGATGCAAAAATCCTCAATAAAATACTGGCAAACTGAATCCAGCAGCACATCAAAAAGCTTATCCACCATGATCAAGTGGGCTTCATCCCTGGGATGCAAGGCTGGTTCAATATACGCAAATCAATAAATGTAATCCAGCATATAAACAGAACCAAAGACAAAAACCACATGATTATCTCAAAAGATGCAGAAAAGGCCTTTGACAAAATTCAACAACCCTTCATGCTAAAAACTCTCAATAAATTAGGTATTGATGGGACGTATCTCAAAATAATAAGAGCTATCTATGACAAACCCACAGCCAATATCATACTGAATGGGCAAAAACTGGAAGCATTCCCTTTGAAAACTGGCACAAGACAGGGATGCCCTCTCTCACCACTCCTATTCAACATAGTGTTGGAAGTTCTGGCCAGGGCAATTAGGCAGGAGAAGGAAATAAAGGGTATTCAATTAGGAAAAGAGGAAGTCAAATTGTCCCTGTTTGCAGACGACATGATTGTATATCTAGAAAACCCCATTGTCTCAGCCCAAAATCTCCTTAAGCTGATAAGCAACTTCAGCAAAGTCTCAGGATACAAAATCAATGTACAAAAATCACAAGCATTCTTATACACCAACAACAGACAGAGAGCCAAATCATGAGTGAACTCCCATTCACAACTGCTTCAAAGAGAATAAAATACCTAGCAATCCAACTTACAAGGGATGTGAAGGACCTCTTCAAGGAGAACTACAAACCACTGCTCAAGGAAATAAAAGAGGATACAAACAAATGGAAGAACATTCCATGCTCATGGGTAGGAAGAATCAATATCGTGAAAATGGCCATACCACCCAAGGTAATTTACAGATTCAGTGCCATCCCCATCAAGCTACCATGACTTTCTTCACAGAATTGGAAAGAACCACTTTAAAGTTCATATGGAACCAAAAAAGAGCCCGCATCGCCAAGTCAATCCTGAGCCAAAAGAACAAAGCCGGAGGCATCACACTACCTGACTTCAAACTATACTACAAGGCTACAGTAACCAAAACAGCATGGTACTGGTACCAAAACAGAGATACAGATCAATGGAACAGAACAGAGCCCTCAGAAATAACGCCGCATATCTACAACTATCTGATCTTTGACAAACCTGAGAAAAACAAGCAATGGGGAAAGGATTCCCTATTTAATAAATGGTGCTGGGAAAACTGGCTAGCCATATGTAGAAAGCTGAAACTGGATCCCTTCCTTACACCTTATACAAAAGTCAATTCAAGATGGACTAAAGACTTAAACGTTAGACCTAAAACCATAAAAACCCTAGAAGAAAACCTAGGCATTACCATTCAGGACATAGGCATGGACAAGGACTTCATGTCTAAAACACCAACAGCAATGGCAACAAAAGCCAAAATTGTCAAATGGGATCTAATTAAACTAAAGAGCTTCTGCACAGCAAAAGAAACTACCATCAGAGTGAACAGGCAACCTACAAAATGGGAGAAAATTTTCACAACCTACTCATCTGACAAAGGGCTAATATCCAGAATCTACAATGAACTCAAACAAATTTACAAGAAAAAAACAAACAACCCCATCAAAAAGTGGGCAAAGGACATGAACAGACACTTCTCAAAAGAAGACATTTATGCAGCCAAAAAACACATGAAAAAATGCTCACCATCACTGGCCATCAGAGAAATGCAAATCAAAACCACAACGAGATACCATCTCACACCAGTTAGAATGGCAATCATTAAAAAGTCAGGAAACAACAGGTGCTGGAGAGGATGTGGAGAAATAGGAACACTTTTACACTGTTGGTGGGACTGTAAACTAGTTCAACCATTGTGGAAGTCAGCGTGGCGATTCCTCAGGGATCTAGAACTAGAAATACCATTTGACCCAGCCATCCCATTACTGGGTATATACCCAAAGGATTATAAATCATGCTGCTATAAAGACACATGCACACGTATGTTTATTGTGGCACTATTCACAATAGCAAAGACTTGGAACCAACCCAAATGTCCAACAATGATAGACTGGATTAAGAAAATGTGGCACATATACACCATAGAATACTACTATGCAGCCATAAAAAATGATGAGTTCATGTCCTTTGTAGGGACATGGATGAAACTGAAAACCATCATTCTTAGCAAACTATTGCAAGGACAAAAACCAAACACCGCATGTTCTCACTCATAGGTGGGAATTGAACAATGAGAACACATGGACACAGGAAGGGGAACATCACACACCGGGGACTGTTGTGGGGTGGGGTGAGGGGGGAGGGATAGCATTGAGAGGTATACGTAATGCTAGATGACGAGTTAGTAGGTGCAGCGCACCAGCATGGCACATGTATACATATGTAACTAACCTGCACATTGTGCACATGTACCCTAAAACTTAAAGTATAATAATAATAAATAAATAAATAAATAAATAAATAAATAAAATAATTAAAAAATCTGGATGTTTTCTATCATCCTGATATCTAATTATAATTTTAAAAAACAATGCAGAAACAATGATTTAGTTAAGAATCAATAGTCTGTATCACTGATTGGAAATCTTTTTCCTTAGCTACTGTTCTTTACTGTAAGAAAGATGGTGAATAACTTAAGTAACAGTCAAATCGACTTCACTTCATAAAGCAAAACTTCTCAATCTTAATGGTTGCAAAACAAAAATATTTTTCTCAAAAGCAAAAAAAGAATACGTATTTCTTATTTTAAGTAGTATAGTGTTTAGCGAAGTTGCTTATCCTAGCTGCTGCAACGCCCACCTACTTTCACTTTGGTACACTAGAATTAGACTCACCATTTACTAAATTACAAATTACATAAAGGTAGGTGTGGTTTACCTTTACCTTCCCAAATGCTTAGAATACTGCCTTGAATATACGTATTTAATAAATAGTACTTGTAAATGCATGAATCCAATCATCTTATATCAGCCTGCACATTTGCCAAGGAAATTAATTAGAATGCATAGGATGCTATCATTGATTAATTTCTATATAACTAGTGTTGAGCAGAAAACCGTTTGTTTTATACTTGCGTCATGCTGGGTGAAATTTTTATGTTAAATATTTTCCATTTTCCTGATTTAATATATATGATACAAAATGTAAGTGCTTACTTGATGATTCAGTCATAACAGTGCTCTGTTTAGAACATTAACAATTCCTTTTATATTTCTTTCAGGTGTTATTTATATTCCTTTTATGTGTTTAGAATGAATGTGCTCCAACCAGAGCCAAGTACTAAAACCTTATTTTTATCCAGTAAATTTACTAAATTGATGACATTTATTTACAAAAGATTCTTCATGTCTAAGAATAACAACAATAACAAAACACAGTTCCTATTCGTGTATTATTTGCTCGCCTTTTTTCTCTTTTAAAAAGTACGAGAGTGGCCAGGTGCCATGGCTCATGTCTGTAATCCCAGCACTATGTTAGGTCAAGGCAGGAGTAATCGTTTGAGCCTAGGGGTTTGAGACCAGCCTAGGCAACATAATCAGACTCTGTCTCTACAAAAAATTTAATAATTAACCAGGCATGGTGGTGCACACCGGTGGTCCTAGCTACTTAGGAGGTTGAGGTGGGAGAATCCCCTGAGCCTTGGAGCCAGGAGGTAGAGGGTGCAATGAGCTGTGATCATGCTATTGCACTTCAGCCTGGGTAACAGAATGAGACTCTTTCTCAAAAAAAAAAAAAAAAAAAAAAAAAGGGGGGGGGGCATCAAAGTGAGAACATAAAGAACTGGTTTTAATATGACTGAAGTTCCTTCCTTTAATTTTCTTCTCAATGCACAGTACAAGAATGTTGTAAATCACTACCCACAAGATACACGTTTACTGAAGTACCCTAGAGTATCTTCCTTACAGCCCAATTTACATAAGTCTGCTCCCTCTGCTGGCCAAATTTTTATTTTCTAGCATCCTATTTAAATATAAAGGTAATGCTTTATAATACCAAAAAAAAGCTACTCTGTAAAATAATCATAAACCATATAAACCTGGGAAATCACTGAAGAAGCTCTTTATATCATTAAGGCATTGTGTTTGCTGATTTTAGGGATAGGTAACCATCCACATATTGAGTTAAACCCAAGAATTTTCAAATACAATATCATTTTTCCCCTAAGCAAGATTCTTAACCCTGCTAAAACCATTTCTCATTAATTTAGTCCATTTCTAATTGGAATCTCCAACGTACTTTGTGATAAGTGTCTAACCAAGCCTTTCCATATTTACACAATGGCATTATGTTGGGGAAACAAGAGGGAGAGAATGCTTTCACTTAGTAATTTACCAGGCCACAAGAGTTAGTGGCAGAATACAGGATAAATAAGAGAGACTATATGCTAAAAGTGAGCCCATGCTGCTTTTAGTTTTTTTCAAAGATAGATTATAATATAATAATAAAGTCATTGTTCTGACATATCTAATACATTCGTTTTAATTTTTTATGATAAAGCACTTTATAATATACAACTTGAGTACATTTCATTAATAAGTTCCAAATATATTTTCTTATACAAAAAGCTAGTACTGCCATTAAAAAACCCTAGGCTACCTTATTTGCTGCTTTCCAACTATGTACCACTTTATAACTTACAAAGCCTTTATTGCACACATTTATTATTACAAAATCCCATGAAATGGGTAAAATTATGCCCATTTGAGAGGCGCCTCAGAGAGATTTACATAATCTTTATAATGTCATTAAGAAGCAAACTAGGAACACAGCCTATAAAGGCTCTGGACTTTAAACACAGGTACTTTCTTCCATCTGATTGTATCACTGATTTTAGTTTTTAATCAATACATTTACTTTGGGAGGAAAAGTAATTCCATTTTACAAGCCTTGTTGGTATTTCATTCATACCTCTCAGTAATTACTTTAGAGGAATCCCAAACTTCCATTCGTATCTCAAATACTCCTCCATATAGACTTAACTATACTAAATACACTGAGGAGGGAGGGAATCGGAACAAGACAGCACATGTCTGTGACGCAATGTACTTTTCTTCACTTTGTATTTTGTAAATATTGATGCTGCAGCTCTTAAAGTACTCTCAGAAGTCGTTATGACTGACAGCCCGTGAGTGCTGCATCTTTCAAAACAAATACGCTTTATTGATGGAGAGCACACACATCTCCATCTAATTTTTCTGAGGCAGAAGTGGAACAAACATATCTTAACATTTTAACTAAATTCAGCATTCTGTACTGAACACAATAGGCAGGTTACAGTTTAACAGATATTATGAAAGCTTGTCATTTTCATAAGCAACACAGCACGTAAGGGAAGGGCACTCTACAAACCTCCCCTATAATCTCAGAGTAGCATACAACTTCCTGTGTTTATTGTAAATATTTTTAAGTACAAGCAAAAATTCAAAAGACATTTTGTACCAAATAAAGGTCTTCACAAATGTCCAAGTATTGCTAGATTTTAAAATATGTACTACTATACGGCTTAAGAATAAAAGTTTAGGCGAAAATTTGAAAAAGAACCAACTGGAGAAAATAAAATATACTTGATCGCCCTGATTCTAGGGGGAAAAAAATAAGGAAAACCTGTCGTTGTCTGCTGTGTACCAAAAATCACAATCTAACAGCAAATATCAGACATATTTTATATCACATTATAGCTTCCCTTGAACTGAAAGGTAGGGGCTCACTGAGGAGTCAAAGGAGAATTCTGCTTGCTGAGCTCTCCCAGCCATTTGCTTTGATGACTGCCAAATCTGTACTAAAAGGTGGGCAAATTCTTTCATAGCTCTTATATATAACTCCTCTAGGGAGACCTTCTGATCCCAAATCAACCTTTTGAGGACCTATTAATGGACTAGCATTAAGAGAGATGACAGTGATTATAAAATATGAGTTGGAACAATAAAGAACTTGTTGGTGAGATAAAACCTATATAATAATAAAACCATTTGGAAACTAGGCAGCAGGTAATAGAGTGCAACAAATGTGGTCCAAATCATTAGGGAATAGATAATATATAATAATATAACATTCTCAGCACTGGACACTTGGCAATTATAAAAGCCATTGGAGAATTCAGACAATTCTCTTTACTCCCTCTGATGATCTCAATTTGTCCCATTATTAACCCCTTAACTAATGGCTAAATTTATCCACACTGCCAAAGACACGGTCAAGAAGGAACCCTGGGTTCCCCAAGAGCTTCCTGCCACTGCAAACTTTGCCAACTGTGACCTGGATTCTCTTACTTTGGGCATCAACAACACATTGAAAAGAGTCTGAAAAGAACTGTTCAGTTATTTGTTGTGCTATTATTTAGGACTAAGTAGGTTCAGCAACTTTCAAGGGATGTGATCACAGGAAATAGGTCAGGTAACTGGCCATTCCTGGAACCTCAGGATTGACCTAGAAGAACTGGCTGGGCCTTTATAGGAAAGTAATGCTGAAGAGAGAACAGAACTGGAATTTTGTGGCATTCATACAGAAATGGTCAAAGATAATCTGGGAACAGATATAAAATGTAATAAAGTGTAAATAACATTTTGTATTTTTCTTCTTTTTTTTTCAGATGGAGTTTCGCTCATCACGCAGGCTAGAGTGCTGTGGTGCAATCTCAGCTCACTGCAACCTCCGCCTCCCGGGTTCAAGTGATTCTCCTGCCTCAGCCTCCAGAGTAGCTGGGATTACAGATGTGTGCCACCATGCCCTGCTGATTTTTGTATTTTTAGTAGAGATGGGGTTTCGCCATGTTGGCCAAGCTGGTCTCGAACTCCTGACCTCAGGTGATCCTCCCACCTTGGCCTCCCAAAGTGCTGGGATTACAGGTGTGAGCCACCGTGCCCGGACCATTTTGTACTTTCCATATTCATTTTCTGTTGCTTGTAGAGCACTTTTTGGGTAGTGAACTATGGGACCAATAATGGTACCAGACAGAGTAAAAATGACCAGTGTCTAGTCCTGGCTTTCACCTCACAAAAGGAAAAATAGATCCAATGTCAGGCCGGTTCAAGACAAAATTAGCAACTGATGAAGCTGAAAAACTGTGGAGAGTCTTCAAGCATCAAAAAGTTGGGCTAGATGACCATGAAGGCCTGTTATTACCACTGTATGCTATGATTTTACCTCCTTATCTCCAGCAGGGGCCAGGCTGTCCTGCATTCCCCGCTTCTCTGTCTATAAGTTCTCCATTCCCCCCTCTCCATTCTCTACAAGAAAAATAAAGACACAATATATCAGCTATGCGGGCCTTCACAGAGCCTTTATACTCGTTAAAAAAAAAAAAAAGAAACTTAACTGTGTAGCTGAGTCTTAAGAAAAACTGTAACAGCTGTTTTGTATATTTGTCTCACTCCCTGTTTTTCCCAGTTTATGCAAACTGCCCTCCATTATTAATTAACGCTGGATTCTATGATTTGAAAATTGGCTTAAAGCTGAATTTTGTAAGCCGTCACTAAGTTGTTTTTTAACTTCTGACATTTTAAACATTTCTGATGTGCTTTCTTAGAATTCTGTACTAAGGAAAAAATAACTTCTCCAACATTTTAATAAGAATTCCCAACATCTATTTAGAAAGTATATTGAAAAACATTTTTTTCCTTAAAAAAAGTCAATTTCTAATGTCCTCAAAGCAAAGCCATAGAGGCCCTTAATAAATATAAATTTTTTATTTTAGACACAATTCAGTGCATAATTTATTATGGAGATGTTAAACTTTCAGAAATTAGGAGATCTGGACCTTTAACGGGTTGGTTAGGACTAAACCACCTTAGCCCTACTTTTGCATTTATTCAGAATCTGGAGCAAAACTGCCTATGACACTAGAAAATGTGAACACCACAACTGTCTGCAGCTCAGACAAGTAATAAACATGGCCAAACCTGGGCCTTTAAATTGTGGGCCTCCTCACATCAATCCAACCATTCGTGTGCTCAGGGAAGAACTACCTGGAACACTGAGAGGCTCCTCCATGATGAAAAAATCAATGGGGAGTTCAAGTGCCCCTAGACATGACTAGTGGAAAGAGGGGTCTGTCCTTGACCATTAAAAGTGCTAAATTATTGATACTGCAAAGTCCAGACAACTACTGTCACTATTTCAACTATCTTCCAAAACAGTTTTAAAAACTTTCCTACTTAAAAATCACCACAGGTTTATAGTCTTAGAAATTCACCAGAAGAAAAAAAAAAACAAAAAACAAGAACAACAAAAAACACAGACAGCTCTTCTTATATTAAATCTACTACTGCTCAAACAGACAAAGGAAAACCAGAAGGTTTCTCTTATGGTTATTTCTAGATCTGAGATTTTATGAAGCATACATTGGGAATCACAGATAAAACTGTACAATGTTAGAACTGATCTAAACTCACCAATTTAATGATCTGTAAAAGTGAATCCACAAGAGGGTAAGTTAAAACTAAACATTTTGCACATAAACACACACACATATTTACGTATTTTCCTATTAAATTATAAAACTGAGATTACTTGAATTTGTACTATTAGTATGAGTAAAATGAGTACAGTATTGTTTTTAAGAGTAAAAATGGCCAGGTTTATTTACAATAAGATAATAAAAAGGACTCTTAGTTTCTTCTTCACTTTCCGCCTCTGAAATGAACTGGATCAATAAAGGAAAAGCTTCTTAAGGGCAATTTTATTCTATTATCCTAATGAGAGAAGTCACAGCCGAATGGAGCAGACAAGAAGTGATCTATTTTGAGAACAATCTAACAATTCTCAGGGTTCCTTGCTATTCTCAAAGGAAAGAATATCACAAAGAAAAGGTACATACCAACAAAAAACCTTGTGGTTACAAAACAAACGTGCAAAAATCTGCACTGAGAGTTTTACTGGAAATCAATAAAGACAAAAATTAGAAAAGTTGAATGAAAAATTATGTGGTTATTGGGACTTCTGCCCAAATAGAGTATTAGTTAAAATGCTCTAGGACACAGGGAGAATGCCTGTAAGGCATTACTTACAGCAGATAGCAAGCAATCAGAAAAGTGGAAATCAAGGTCCATTACTCATGGCAGGATAGCCTGCATTATCCTCTCACAGATGCATCACTGGCGAGAGCTGATGAAGAAAAATGAAGGCTGAGAAGGAAAGGGAATAGCGTATCTTCTACATGTAATTTTCAGCAACCTTTGATGAGTTTCCTCCCCTTTGCTTCCTTCAATTTCATTTAGAAAAATCATCTTGGTTAAGGCTATTCAAGTGTGACTTTGCAAATAGCCTAATGTGGCCCCAAATTACTACCCTCAACATTCGTTATACCAAACACCTGATTAAACACCCTCAAGTTAAAGTGGATCAAGGTAACTTTATGCTGATTCCACGAACAAGAACCTGTCAAACTGACAAATCAGTGTCTACTCTCATGGATACTGTCTCCTATCAGATGGGCTTCCTATTCTCTTAAAACTTGTTTCTTGATCCTGGCAGCCTCCTGTCAGTCTATATAACACCCTGGCTCCTAAAACTAATACATTCTTATTTTCTGTTCTCTAGTTTCTCTATAGATTATACTGTTGACCTCTGCTATTATTTGGCAGAAGTCTCTTGGAAGCCATTCATAGTGACCCTACCACAAAATTACCACAAAATTGCATTTCTTCAGAACCAACTCTACTTTCTAAAATATGTAATTCAGTTGTCCATGTTTTAAAACAGCTCTTAAAAAAGGACTGGCACTTCTACGGTGCTGCTTCCCCGCACCCACTTTGCCTACAATCAGAAAAAAAAGATGAAAGGCAGGAAGTGGCCTATCAACATGCAGCTCTCCTTCGAAGACAGATAACAAATACTGCAGTTAAAAGTATATTTGCAATTGCAAAGTTACTCTTCCTGAACAAATTCCAAATACAGTATCTATCTTTGATCTTACAAAGGCATTTTTCTTACTGTTCATAGCTGACATTGATGATTCAGTTAGGCACCCCACTCTCAACTATGGGAAAACTGTTCCCTGAAATTCAGTCATGTGAGTTTTCAGCTTTTAGTTGCCAGGCTAGAAGTGGCTGCCTTTGCTCCGCCACTGCTGCTTCCTTGGATATTTCTGCTTGTCATGGTGACGTAGGAACTTACCATAGCAACAGCATCCATTTGACTACCTGGGAGACCCTCTCAATTCCTTCTCTGTGATGTCAGACATTGTTGGACATTATTAGAGAGTTATTCAGCATCTCCTTGGACAGGGCTTATTACCTCAGAAAAAAAATATCGCAACTATGGGAAAAATTTTGAAGACCTTAAACTGAAACATAGTTTAAGTTTTTTATTTAAAAATGGAATCTATTTCTTAACCTTTCATACTTACTGCTAAGGCAAAAGTCTAATGATGATATGTAGAATGAAACAAGCTTATTTTAAAACAATAAAATATCCGTCATCTCCATGGTTCATGTTAAACAGTTAGAGAAGATAAATAGCAACCACATTATAATATTTGTTAAAAAATAGTTTCTTACCTGCAATAGGTATTGCTGAAGGGAATTTAGAAAGACAATTTTCCATCTGGGGTCTTTTAATGCAGGGAGGTAACAACAGATATTGACATAGTAAAATAATGGGAAGGCTCTTATTTTTGATAACTTAAAGTTCAGTTAGTAGAGAGCAACAGTAGGATTTAACTGAAGCCTAAGGAAGATGTATAATCCTGGGTTAGAAGTTACCATTACCACAATAGAATCTTTCTGGGTAAGAAAAAATAAAGCAGCTTTCATGGAAAAGAACTATGCTTTTAAGGTTAACACATGTGCAGGCACATGCATGCCTACTTTCTACAAAGTGTAGAGCTGATAGACACATAGATAGAAACTGGAAAATTGCCAACAGCACTTGGACCATAAAGTATTCGTTGCTCTCATAAAACAGAGTTTTGTATGAATGTGACCTCTAACGCCAAATCTAACTTTTGGGACGCATCCATAAAGTCAGCAGTTAGTACATTCTTGACTGACAGCCTGATAACTTAGCTTCTAAAAGGAGCATTAACCACTCCAGTATGTGAACATGCAGTGACTAAGAGCATCTGCAGCAAAGTTAAGAAAGCAGAATAAAAGAACGACAATCTAAACAAGCAATGTGTATACCATTGCATCTATCAGCATCAGGCAAATGTGATCACAAATAAATCCTTATAATACCCTGAAGTTTTCCTTCTCTAGCAAAATAGCTATTTTCTTTTCCCTGAAAAAGAAAACTATGCTTCCCATCCTACTAAAGGGCAGTAATTTTATGATACATGGCAAACATATGAGGAAGTATCTATTTCTAAAAAGTACAAGTTTACACCACATCACACCTTGAATCCCACCATCTTTGTGAAATCAAATAAAACACTAAAATCGGAAGCAGGGGGGACCTCTAACAAGGGCAGGCATAGGAATTTGATGGCAAAATCAATCAATAAAAATATTTTCCATTAAATGCATTTACAGTAACATTTATGTACCATAATTCTAATTAAAAAGAAAAGAAACTGTTCAACTATGTTTATGCCTAGTAAACATGCTGAAATGACAAACAATAAAATGTTCACAACAGATATGGAGTGGTATATGCATTGACTGATATTTTTGTCTCCATGCATTTTGGTGTTATTCTCATTCAACATGTCTTATTTTACAAACAAAAAAGAAAGTCAATAAGTTATTTTAAAATCAAATATTTTAAACATGATTTAATGGAGGACAAAGTATCAGGCTTCTGAGGTATCAGATCAATATGCTGCAGTGGAAAGTGATTTTCTCTTTCTGATCCTTTCTGTGACAACGTGACATCTTTTCACACTTGTTCAAAATTAACTGCTTCACCACATAATTACTGCAACTGCAGCAAATGAGCCTTTTTGTCTGTAATTCAATTACTGTGGGACATCTTATAGTTTCAGTATTTAGAAGTGAAGCATTTACTTGACTACATACATGGGAATAAAATAGACTCTCAACATATCATATCTTAATTAAGAATGAACTTTAAATTTCTATTGTTTGTTTATACCAGAGTCATCCTAGCTTATTAACCAATGTTATGGAATCTAGTGGGAGAGCAGAAATACTGTTTTATCTCATTTCTAGGTATCTTAAGTGATTGCCCCATTATGATCAGAAGCTGGAGTTGGTTTGCTGGAGTAGACCCTTCGGTCCCACAGTATTTTATCTACACAGCTACTGTGACATTATCACCTTCGACAGGGGTTTTATTGTTTGCAGGTTTGTCTTCCACACTTAATAGAAGCATACCTACTACAAAGAACAAATTCTTAGTGATGAATGAACGAGTGAACTGTCTTAGAAATAACTTGGGGAAAATGTCAGAGACAGCTTAAGAAATCATAGTGAATCATCCATAACCTCAATAACACTGGAAAAACTATTAAATGTTCTTTCCATAAGAAAAGTTCCCAACAACTTAAGTCGTCTTTCCTTCCTCGAACCTCACTCACCCTACCCATGTTCCTAACATCTTCATGAATTTATTCTACATCTGCTATTAAAAAGAGTAATCAAATTAGTTTTATGTGAAGTACACTTTTACAACACCTGATTTTTACTATCAATTGGCCTCTGGATTTCATTACACTGCACTGTTATGAAGCACGTTGAATGTGTGTGATTTTATTTCATGTTAGCTTTATCAGTAGCTGCTGAAAACATGCTTTTGGTGCAGCTTCCCCAGTGATCTAGACTGACTTTTATGGTCAGCAGGTGTAAGATTCTGGAAATTTATATTTATAGCCCCCCTGTTGCTAGCTTTACTGACAGGGAGAAATAAAATTTACCCTCAGTTAAGCAACTGAGTAAAACTATCCACAAGGTAGTTCACCTTAATAAAATAGTAAGTGTGGAAATCTCCAGAATTTCTACAGGAAATTCTACTTTATTCTCTCAGTATATGATATGCATCTTCAGAGTCCAAAGGGCGGACACTTCCAATTACTTCTCTGGTTAGGCTTAACTTACAGTAATATCCGGTACTCTAAAATCAGCATTTCTCAGTGAGGAAGCTTTTGGCATCTTGAGTGAGATAGTTCCTTACTTGGCAAGGCTGTTTCACTTCCTGCTGAGTTAACATATATCTAGGCTCTTCCCTGCCCTTTGACCCCTACACCCACTCCCAGACTGTGGCATTTCCCCAAATAATGTCCCACGAATTTCTAAACACTCCTTGTAGGGTTGTGGGATCCCTAGTTGAAAATCACTGCTCTAAATTGATCCCTAGTTGAAAATCACTGCACTATATAAATTTGAATTTTAAAAATAATTTAAGACTCCTTAAAAAAGACGTTTCATAACACCATTATTAACTAAACCTTTCCCCATCTATTTCCAGGAACATACAAGACTCATCTACTATATGCTTAAGGCATCCTTGGTGGACGTAAATATTTTCTACGTGACCTCTGGTTGCTAACAATCCTGATATCATAAACCTTCCATTAATATTTCTGTGTCTATTTGTGTTGATTACTTATAAGCTATCCAAATTGGCTTAATTTTGTTAAAACAGGTTTCTAAAGCATTATTTATCAGCACTACCATCAGGGCTTCCACCATTCAGGTGTCATTTTGAAAAGCATTACAGGAAGGGAGTCAATCGCTATACCCTCTATGCTGGGCCACCATGGTACAACACACGTAAAGAGGCACACTCCAAAATCCAGTGAAAAACACTACTTCTGCAAGTTTAGGCTTTCCAGTCAGCAGAGCAATGCAAAGCTGATGAGTCATTTCTAAAACATGAAGTGCAATTCTAAAACTTTCAGAAGAGTAACAAAGATCCAATCTGTTTAATTAATGAAAGGTTACATGGAATTGTAAATCTGAACTTTTTTAAACCATAAGAACTTCATGATCACTTAGTGTGGATGTTGAAACTTGAGTGTCTTCCTTATCTACATGGGCAGCATGTCTTAACGGACCGGTCAACAATCGAAGAAGCTTTTAAAAACTGCTATAGCGAGACAGAGCAATTCAATTGAATCACACATGGTCTCCCATAAATATTACATAAATAGTGGTTTCAGTGGTTTCTGACAGAAAACTCAGCCTCTTTCTGCTCCTTTTTCCAACAAGCCATACTGTCAGGTATGGGAAACCCTAATGCTTTCATAAATTTGGCTCTGTCACCTCTTCAAGTCAATCAACAACCTCATTTTACTTGGAAACCACTTCACCCTTACTTTCTGCATGTCTACTACCACTTACACCCCTTGGCCTCCTCTTAGAAATATGGGGCTTCTGAAATCCTATTTGGATTTTGGAATATTGGCTTTGTAAAGAGGTACTCGTAAGCGGTGATAAAGAAGTCCAACTCAGGAGTAGCTCTAGGTAAAACAGGGAAGCCAGATGTGTTCATTTATGCCATCCTTCGACTTTGGTCTGTGAGGAGCTTTTCCAGACATTCCTAAGAACCAAAAAGCCCCATGTGGCCAGTAAGGAAGGTTTGGCTTGCTTCTCCATCATCCAAAAATAGGGCTCACTTGTCAAAGTCTGACAGCCTTCTGGCCACAGTAACACTTATGGGCTCAGCAGGAAGTATCTGAAATCCTGAATTACATTCACACTGAACACTTGTTCCTCCCAGCCTTCCCTGATCCCAGGGACTCAGACCCTGCTTTCTTACTGAAGCTGTTCATTGCTGATAGACTTTCTGTTTTAAAATGCCAGTTCTGAGTCCTTCCAGGTTGTCATAGGCTGGGCTTTCCCAATGAGACAACAAGGGTTAAGTAACATAATAAATTAAAACTCATTTTAAAATATGGCTTTGGGGAAGAGTAATTTTTAATGAGTCTTCATGAAGGAATTTTAGGTACTACGACATCAAGATGAGAGGGGCTTTTTTATAAAGCCCCCATAGTACAAGTTCAGAGGAAAGAGAAAGCCTGGACTGTACTAATCCCTTTCTGGTTCTGTTTGTTCATGTTTTATTTTTTCCATTTTATAAAGAAACAATCCTAAAGCAAGTAAGCAAGCACTTTAACAGAATCCTGTTGTTTCTGGGATGGATCTTTTCAATGTTGCTAGCCACACACTATGTCTTCTTGAAGAGGTGATATTTTATTTATCTTTGTATGCCCAGTGCTATTGTTGTGCCTGGCATATATTAGGTGCTTAATAAATGTTCATTAGATCAATGGCTCTGCTGCTGGGAAACCACACAGCTTCCATATTCAGCACAGCAGGACCTGGACAAAGCTGAGAAAATATGCGACTCAAGCCCAGAAAACTCTATGAGCCTGAATTTTGGGTAATATGCATTAAATTATTACCATGATATGTAAATTCCATACAAATTAAAAATTATGTATCATCTGTGTCAAAGTAAGATATGTACGGTGTCAAACATAACTGTAATCTCTATTATCTAGACTACAAACTTTACAACTTGCGATCTTATATTCAATAAGAAAATGGCACAGACGCCATTTCAAAAGAACTACACAAATCTTTGGCTTTTTTTTTTTTTAATGAAGCCCTTAAATATGACTTTGAAAGAAATCCTAGACCATCCTGCTTAATTTCACTTTGTCTATGCTTCATATCTCATGCGATTTGACACAAATGTTAACTGTGAACTCTCTTTTTTCCTGAATTTGTAAACCCGCATCTATAAATTATTAGCTGCAAACTGTGTAATCTTGGGCAAGAAACCTAACCTCCCTGTGCCTTGGCATCCTCATTTGTAAAAGGAAGGATAATAACAGTATCTATTTCATTGTGAGGATTAAGCCATTTTTATATACACATACACTGCTTGGAATAGTGCTTTGCAGTAAGTGCAAATGAAGATTTGCTATCATTATCATCATAATTAATCATGGACTATAAACATTCAAGTCAACTTGAAATAAACTACAATTAACAACTTTTTTTTTCTTCTTGAGAAACGGTCTTGCCCTTCTTGCCGAGGCTGAAGTGCAGTAGTGCAAATACAGCTCACTGCTGTAGCTTGACCTTCTGGGCTCAAGTGATCTTCCCACCTCAGTCTCTAGAGTAGCTGAGACTACAGGCGTGCACCACCACACCCAGCTAATGTTTCAAATTTTTGCAGAAGCGAGGTCTCACTGTGTTGCCTAGGCTTATCTCAAACTCCTGGGCTCAAACAATCCTCCTGCTTCGGCTTGCCTCCCAAAGTGCTGGGATTATAGGCTTGAGCCACCATGCTAGGCCCATAATAACTTCTAACCATTAAACTCATGTAACCAAAAAAAGTAAAAAATTCATTCAATATTATTGAGAACCTACTATTAACCAGATGTTGTGCTAGGTTGACCTATGCTGCTTTAATCCAGTGCTCTCCTCACTAAATACCCTTAGGTAAAGAAATATCTCTGCATGTCAAAAATCTGTGGGTAGAGAAAAAATGGGGGTGGGGGGCAAAATATAAACAGCAGGAGCTTGGTTAAAATGTAACAATTTATAGTGACTAAGAATTCCATGAAAATGCATTTATTGGCATAAAAAGACACTGAAGATAAGTGGGAAAAAAGGTTGCATAGAATATAAGAGCCTGATTCCTTTAAAAAAATACATAATAAATATGTGCTTATATACACATAAACCAAAAAAGCCTGAAAGAATGAATGCTAAATTGTTTACGACATTATTTCTCTGTGATAAAATTATGGATGAGGTTTTCTTCTTTTTGGTAATTCTATTTTCTAGCTTTTCTTTAACTTAAAATACAAATAATTCAAAAATCAAAAAAGAAGACGTTGGGGTATACTTATAGTTCCGTAAACAATAAGCTTTTAAAAATACTAATAGGCTAAAGAGATTAACCAAATCATTGGTAAATTTGTATGCACTTAAGAATAAGATTGTTAGCTTGTTAATACAGATGTTTCTCAACTTACAAGTAACTTAAAAATATAATTAGTGGAAAATGTCTTTAATATACCCAAGTTACTGAATATCATAGCCTAACCTAGCTTAAACATGCTTGAAAAACTTTTAGTATTCGATAAGTTACATAAGATATGCAACACTATCATAAAATAGGCTTTCTGTTAGATGATTTTGCCCACTTGTAGGCTAATATAACTGTTCTGAGCATGTAGGCAGGCTAAGCTAAGTTATGATGTTTGGAAGGTTAGATGTATTAAACGCATTTTTTGACAGGATATTTTCAACTTACAGTGAGTGTATCAGGATGTAGCCCCATTTTAAGTCAAAGAGCATCTGTATTTGAAAAATAAATTCAACACTAAGAAATTTTTCAGAGGATCAAGGTCAGTGGTTCTTAGAACTTTAAAAGAACTTTGGAACCACACCAGAAATATAATCTGTATCTCTGCCACAAGCACAATGCCCTACCAAAGCAAAATACCAAAGCTTATTTTCTAACTAATGGATATTCTAGCAGGGGACCAGTTTTCTATGCTTTCCATATTTTTATAAAATTAAGAATGTAAAATGGTTATGAAAGCAAGTTTCCCAATGTTATTAGTACAGGTTACCAATGTCATGCTATGTTTGAGAACATATCAGGAATGTTCTAGAAACGTTTCCTATGATGAGTGGGCAGTATGACAAAATGACTGGTTAAAATTTTTCACTTAAGATTATTTTAAAGTATATATGAATCCATATATTCATGAACAACCAACCTTCAGAGAAAAAAATAAAAACCTGTTCCAATTATACCCTCTAGTCAAGAATGCTTCAGGATAATGCTAAACACAATTACAAGATGCCATCTAGTGGATGTTTTTATAAAATTTCTCTGCTTGCTTACATTTAAATCTTGATGAAATGATCTTTTAAAAAGCTATTCTGCATGAAAAAACACCTATCCCTTACACCGCTTTCTCACCAATTACTGGTCTGAGCTGGTGGACAACATATTTTAAACACACACAACTCTGACTGGTAATATTGATTTTAAATCTCAAGTTGAATATCTGCCACTACCACAAAGAATAAGGAACAGCCCAGTTATCTCCTAAGTGGTCCAGGACCTATAATGGCTGCATAACACAAGTTAGAAAGGAGATTCAATTTAACATGCTTTTATCATTCACTTCAGATGATGATGATAAAAGATTAGCATCATTATATCAGGACAGTAATTACTGTTACTGCTGCCCTACATTTTATGAAAACAAACTCACTTGTTCTAAATAAGCTATGTCTGATATTTAGAAATCAGTATAGTGTTTCCAGCAAAGCTGTGAAAGTGGTACCATGTCCCTACATGTACACAGCTGTAAAGGCTCCTTTTACCATCAGGGTGGCAGTAACACAAGTTATGATCAATTAAATGGTATTAATGAAACCAATTAATGTAGCATAAATACATAAGGCAAAATGGAAGACTGATATCCAACCAAATGTTTATTTATAGTATTAGTCTATGATAATTCAGATACAATTTATAATTAAACTTAATCAGATGAAATCCACATCTATCTAAATTACCTTAGTTATAGACTCATTGTTTTGTTTTCTTTTGATCTTTGGAAGCAGATTCTATAATTTTTTTTAAAAGCTTCTAATTTTCTAGATATTTTCAGATTCCCACATTGTAAAACAGAAATTATCAATTTATTTGGAGGGCATTCCTACTGTGTGATAATAAAAAGTTTTTATTTTAAAAAGTTTTCTGTAGCCTATCATAACTGGCTTCCCTAGGAAAATTCTCCATTTGTCACTGCTATTTCTGGTGTCATATTTAATTTATAGGATAGTTTAAAGAGCTACTCTTCTAAAAATGAAACCCTTCAATATAGACTTGATAGGGACTGCAAATCCAGCCCCTGGAGATCATCTTGTCCCCCAATTCACAGATGACAATAAAAAGACCCACAGGAGTTAAAGGTTAGCTCAAGTTCACCAAACCAATTAGTGGCAGAGTTAAGCTCTGGGTCTCTTGACCACAAAATCAGAACTCTTTCCGCTATATCATACTGCCTTTTTATTCTTCCCCAAATAGTAACAGAATGTCTCCTTTAAAAGCTTCTTAAGGTACTATAGTTTCATTTTTGATCTAAAAGGTCCATGAGGGAACTGCTGCCTAAGTGTATCAGACACAAACGACGGTATTAAAACTGAGCTCCTCCATGATCATGAGAAGAGAGGGGCAAAGCAGCTTCTGTAGAGCAATCCAGATCAGTGGTTTTGACAAGGGGACTGAGAGACAACAGAACAGACTCATCAGTTATTGAAGTGAGAATCTGTGTTGTTTACTAAGAGGGCACAAGGAGCTGCTTCTGCTTCCCATCAGCACAGTCCTTAAACTAGCTGAGGCTGAGGGAGCACGATTTCCTCCGCAGGTGCTCAAAACATGATGGCCAAAAAACAGAAGTTCACAAACTAACCCTCAGTATCTGAGAAGAAAAGCTCTGATTTCCGTCAAAACTGCCATCTTTTGCCTCTCATCATATCACAGAGTAAGGACAGATACACTATACATTCTTTCAGCTCTGAACCCTTTCCAGTCTCCAGGGTCTGAAACTTTAATCTGGATCTTCCTATCAGATTAATGGCAGTTGACACCATTTATGGTATAGTTAAAATGTCCTTTCTTTCTTCTGCAACTTATTTCTTACAATTCATAAACCATATTCTGACATAATAAATGCACACATAAATGGAAGTCTGAAAACTTGGACTCTGTAAGCAGGAGCATGCCTTAGCTAAATCATCTAACCTGTCAATCTCAGGTTCCCTCTTTCGTGTCTGGAGATGGCTGGCCCCTACATTCTAAATTACTCTAAGCCTGTTACTTCTTAAAAACACTCTGCAACAAATTCAACACAATAGAACTTACCAGGCCTTGCCCTAACACTACCTCTTAGCAAAGGCTTTAACAGAAGTCTGAGGAGTGTAGTGATAGGACCAAATCTAAAAGGAGTTCTTTGTAAGATCACATGTGAATTGCTTTTGAGAAAGTCTCTTTAGATGTCTTACTTTGGCTCCTCTTCTATACAAACTGCTGTGGGAGCCTAAGAAAAGCAGCTTTCAAACATGCAAGTACACAGATTTGGTACTGCTGCCGCCAGGCTGCAACCGCTGCCAGGGGAAAGAAGTGAGTCAAAGCAATTCTACGCATCGCACGCCTCAATGTCTTCCCTTCACTTGGCAACAATACACTGGGATCAGTCATCCAGCTAAATGTCCAGAGTCCCAAAGTCATTACTAGCGCAAGGGTTTCTAGTCTAAAACTTCCAAGGTGATATAAAAGTTTAAAATCAGTACAAAGGAGGTCTTTTTATGTTACTACTAAACGCCTGGAATAATCTGTGAAAAATTAGAAGGGTAGTGAGACAATGACTTAGGAATCCTACAATGTGTGTGTTAGAACTTTCAGACACACCTTTCTGGCTCGAAGGCGTTACGGTACTTACTAAAAGAATCAAGAAGAATCAAAAGGCAGTTTTTGGTATTAGTTACATAGTCAGAATTTCCAAAGATATTTACATGTGAATGCCTAATTTTCAGGCTCCTCTGACATGTATTTCCAATTTTTAAGGGACTACAGATGATTTACTGACACGTTCTTTTCCCTTGAAAAATGTATCATCACAAGTGTTATTAATGGTTTGCGTCAAATTCTATCATATATGTTTGAATGCATTTTTTTTCTAAAGAGAGTGATTAATTTTACATTTTGTGGCCATACCACTTGTAAAGAACAGTTCACATCTGTCCACCAACATAAATAAAATACTTGAAGACTGTCACGAGGACAGTGCCTCTTTTGTCAAACTGCTCTATGCGTGTTTTACATGAAACAAGACTTCCAAATGTGGAAAAGGTATGTGTTTATACATGAAGAAATGTATTTCTAACAAGTGGGCTTCTTTATTTTAAAAATAGTTCTACATGTAGTATTTTATGATAATTTTCAAGAGTTTACAGTAGTCAAATGTTATCCAGAATAAGAGAAATTTCTAAAAAAAAACTTGAAGTGGGTCTTACTATAATAATTATCCGGTTGTCTCTAATAAGCAGCAATTTATAAAACAGAAAACTTTATTGTAAGGAGGCATACTTTTAATCAGTATTATTTTCATTCTTTGAGAGTCTTAGAATGTTTACCTTTTGCCTATGCTCTGAATTTTTCTGGGGAATTATACAACTGTTAAAAAGGAAACAATATGATTCCTGTGAAGGTTTTTTGGGGTGGGCAGGTAGGTACAGAAGCCAAAATGCTGGGTTTAAAAAAATGTAGATTAAAGCTTTATTAAAAACAGATTTTAAATGGCCATTTTATTAGAAATTGTTGAGCCTTTATCAACATAATAGGAAAACTTACTACCATACCCCAAGAAAAACTCTTTGCCCTAATCAAACATATCTAATTGTCATTACACCCCATAAAAGGTTTTGCAACTCCTGAAACCATTTCTACTACAAGGAACGTTTTCTCTAACTCTTGTTCTCTTTTCTTTATTATCAAAAGTCTGTTAACGTGAAACTCTTATTAATAACTCTTATTAACTTCATCTAACTTGATTTAGGAATAATCTTCTATTCATTTTGGACTCCTACTTTACTTCATTCAAAATCACAAAATTATAGAAGTCAGAACATACTTCAGAGATTATCCAATTTAACTCCCATATTGAAAGACAAGAAAATTCAGGCCAAAATTAAGAAATTTGCTCAAGGTCCTAGAACCTGTTCAAGATGAAAGAGCTGGGGCTAGTACAAAGTCATCCATGGGGTTAATTTTTCATTTTCATTTATCACTGAGAAAGACTAACAATTCTAAAGCCAACAAAAGTTTATTTAATTTTTTAAAAAGTAAATCGTGACACTCTTCACAAAGGATAAAAATTTCACTTCATTAAAATTTACTTCATTAAAATGACCAACAGTCATTCCACATTCAAAGTGAATGTAGTGAGCACCCACAGCTGTGCCAGGCCCTTTAAAAACAAAAGGCAAAACAATATATGAGAACTAAATACTTATCATAAGATCCTAATATTTCAGCACACTGTACTCCAATGGACTCTTCTACTTAATAAAAATATACCCTAGTTTGATACTCTTCCTCTATTCTGGTTGCTTTCTTTTACCATTCCCTACTTCAGCTTCTAAATAATTCATGTCTTATACTTAGGAGATGTTATCTTGAGGAACTGGCGATAGTACAACACAGCTTCAAAAATACACACTTTCTACCTGAACTACAAAATGTTTCCAACATAGGTTCTTTTCATGAAATCCCATACTCAACTTATGCTTGAACACTGCAGTCATGTTATCCTAGATCCCCTTTAACTCAAAATATCACTTTGTATCACAGGGTTATAAAATAGCCAGGACCTTTCTCCTAATAGGTCAAATCCTCTCAATACGTACTTTGTAGATTGTGATTTGAAGATAAGAACAATTTTTCTCAAATAACCTGCACTAACAGTTATATAATTAACATAATTATTTTACACTTGGGGAGCTAAGGTGAAGAGATACTTAAGGTCTCATACAAGTGACTCTAATACATCTGCTCTAATTCTCAATTTAACAGTCCAGACATAAGATTATGCCTCATTAGAAAGTTATGAAACAGAAGATATCCTTTTCCAATTTGCCTCCAAGTTTCAAATAAAATACACTACATGTGGATATCAAAACTTCAAAAATTCATTTTATCAACGATTAAAATTTGGTGTTTAGGACTTTTCTAAACCATGTTGATCTTTCTGTAGTTGTCTGAGATAAAGAATCACAAGTAGAGACTTTGAAGATGTAAGATTTTTCAAAAAGGATCTGAGAAAACAGAATCGTAAAACTAGGCTGCATTCGTGTGGTCATTATTCTTGTAGCATGCTATTCCATTATGAATATTTAGTTATGTCAGAGACTCATCAACACTCTTTTGCTCCCTACATATTTACAGCAATGGTCTCTCAAGGAGGCAATGAGTTTGCAGTGCTATACGGATCTAATAAAATGTGTGAATTGTTTTATTCTGCAGCGCTCAATTTTACAATTCTGAAAAGTCTTTTTGAGATATGTTTCTCTGTATGTTTCTGGCCTTGTCCATGTCATTCTTCGAATTGACTTTCTTCAGTGAACTAAAGCATTCACTTAATTTCACCAAATAATACACACAAAATTATGACTTTTTTTTCTCAGCTTGTGAATAACATTGAGATGTAGCCCTTGTTAGGTCAATCTTGAAATGAAGACTCAATGTTTTCCTCTGAGGATCAGAAAAATAATTCAAAAGAAATACTGAGCTCTATCAGTTAAGTTCTCTTAATAGTCTCAGTGGTGTTTAGGCTCAAATCTCTACAAATTTTAAGACAAAAATACACTACATGTGGATTTCAGAACTTCAAGTTACAGACAGAAGCTCTTATTACAGCAGCCAAAATATAATCTGAATGCTAATTTTGATTTCTTTGCACTACCCAAAATCAAATAACTTTTGTTGGGCAACTGCAGACACTCGGCTGAGTCAATGAACATATTTAAGACAGCTGCTTCTTGTTTGTGAACCCAAAACTATTTTCACTGAAGGAAGCGCAGGTTGTACAATGAAAAAAAAAAAAATCAGAATACTCCAAAAAATTTTTTTAAAATGCTCAACAGGAAGGATCCATTTAACATGTTTAAGGATAAAACAGCAATCTGATCTACGTAAATCTCAGAACACAACTAACAGACATTCCTCAACTAGCCATATATTTTTTAAAATTGTTTTTAGGAAAAAACAACAAATTATAAAAAGCTAGCATCAATTAAAAACAAACACCAGCCTTCCAGAATGTCTTGTGCAGGGAGTGCCGAGGTAGAGATGTTGTTGGTGTTGGTAGTGGGCAATTAATTGGGTGTCAGTACCTACTTCTTCAAACATCTGTAAAATAATTATTATTCATTAAAGTGATCCTCTCATTAAAAAATAAGCTTCCCTCTACTATTTCTTATTAATCCAGTCAAGTGTATTCAACATTTTTATATTTGTAACACAAATATGAAACTAAAAAGTTTTCTAGCTTTCAATGAATAAAGTAACCTAAACTCTTCTTTCCTAAACATTCCTGTTTATTCCATAATTTTTATTCTTTTTGAAATTTTTATTTTATTTTTTAATTGACATATAACAGCTATACATATTTATGGTGTTGATATTTCAATACATACGATGTATAGTAATCAGATCAGGGTAATTATTGCATATCCATTGTCCTAAACATTTATCACTTCTCCCTGCTGGGAACATTCAATATCTTCCTTCTAGCTATTTGAAACTATATATTATTATTAACTACAGTCATTCAACAGCAGTATTACACTAGAACTTATTCCTGCTATTTAGCTGTCATTTTATATCCTTTAACAAATCTCATTTTTATTCTTGAAAATTAAGACATCAGTTTCATTTCTTAATATATTAAAATTACTATTTGGTAGAAAATGTATTCTCTTACTGTATGTTTTAAGTTGATACATTAATAAAATGTATTAGTGATCTATTTTGTTAACTGACATTTTCTCTCAATTTAAAGTGCATTTCCTCAAATGCTGTGAATAAGAAATAGTTAAATCTAATTAGCTAAGTCTAATACATAACATCTGATTCAAACTCAGGTGTACTAATATACATGAAAGAATATATATAAAAATATGTATGAATATAACCCTAATTTGGATCCATTTCATAATTCCTAATAAAGTAATATTTTCAAAATAAAAACTAAAAAGTTTATCTGTTTTCCATTTCCATGCTCATGAGTCAGAGCAGGGGTGTTAAAAGGCTTGGCGACTTGGCAGTCAGGCCTGGCTATGAATTTTGACCACTAACCTAAGGACCTCTGTTCATTAATCTGTAAAAGTAGACTAGGGCCTACTTCACAGGATGGTGACAATGGAAACAGATAATAAATCTGAAAAATCCCTTTTAGAGTACCTCATATATACTGCCTTGTATACATACTATTATACTATTAAAAATGCATATTTCCTTCCCTCTTCAAACCCTTTGGCACCACTTCAACCCAAGAGATAACTATAGCAGTTTCTAAGTGATAATCTCCATTCAAACTAATCTGTATCAGATTTACTTAGAATCATGCTTTGAGGTTTTCACTCCCTGAAATCAAACCCTTTAGTGGCCCTTTACGGTCTACTCCTAGAATTTAATTCCTTAGTTTGGTATTCCGCATCTTTTTTGTGCCCCTTCCCACCTCACTCCCCACCCACATATTCAAAACCTGGCCTCAAACTTCCTTTGCCTTTTACTATATCCCAGAAGATGTATTCAAGGCCCAGCTCCCTGCAATGGAGTGCTTTTTTGCCTCTTATCATTTGTCCAGAGATCCCTTATTTAAAACGGCCCTTCTCTCTTCCTCTTGATGCAAGTCAAATATGATCCTAGGCAAAATAACATCTCCTTCCTCTAAATTCTTAATTCTCTACAGCATGAGCCATAAACTGCCTTGTGACACTATTCTATTATTATCTCAAATGATAATTTTAAATCTGTGACTCAGCCTCTTATTGTACCTCTACCTCAGAAATATTCACATCATCATCATCATCATCATCGCTAGCCTCTTAATTACAGGCAGGGAGTCTTAAAGTTCCCATTGAAGACCACAGATTTAAATCTCTGAAGTTAACATTGTCCACGGTTCATCCTTAACTTTAACCTCTGAATGTGGGAGGGGGATGGGAAAAAGTAGGTGTCTCCCTTATTTGTCTTTGAAGTTGCCACAATAGCATAAATCAAGAAAAAGGAGAACGCAGTCCCATCATGATTTTGTCAACCATAGTAAGTACAAAAAATAAGAGCCAGAACCTTTGCGTGAAAACTGTCTTGGAAGCCATTTAAATGCAAATAATTTCAAACAAATCAACAAAAGTCTCCGGCACATTTTTTAAAGATTGAAAGAAAAGGAAACGTACTCAAATCAATCTTGATTAAGCTCCAATGAGTGAAGAAGAAAGGCTGTCTCCATGAGCTTTAATTTTGAAGAAACAGCTGACTGGATGACTCCATTCAGTGAAAATCAGACCCACTCCTGCCTTGGCACAGAGCTCTATTAGTTCTCTGACTCAGAGTTCCAGAGCATGAACTTTCTTAGGTCCAGAGTGGTTCTTAGCAGGTAGCTGGTTACTAAGGGATGAAAACGCAAGCCCAATGTTTATTGAGCAGCTCCGGGCTCATAGAAATAATACTGCCATCAACCTGATTATAAGAAACACACATCTATACGTGCTGTGTAGGGGTTAAGTTAACAGGAAATAACCATAAATGGATGAAAAGGGCAGCCAAGAATCCTCTAAGTTCAAAACAGACCTTAACCTAAGGGCAATAATGTCATCATTCAAATGAGACACAGTGCTTGGCTAGCACAGGAAAAAGGAGTAGTGTCCACTGGCTGAGCACAAAAGAAACACACAGATTCTGAGTTAAGATTTGCTGGGAGAAAACAGTTTGGCACTTGCATAGAAGAAGAAAACCATATTTAGTAATTTTCAACAACATAATATGTAGGTGAGCTTCCTAGAAGGGTCCCAATTCCTCAAAATAAATATCAATATTAAAGTGCAGCTGCTCTACTTTCTGTTCCATTGTTTTTACAAAAACAATCAGCGACTTATTTTTCAAATTTAATAAAACCTAGTCAGGCTTTTGGAAATGTAAATTTTTATAGCTAAGATAAATACTAGAAAATATTCAAGAAAACAGATTCATTGCTCACTTCTTTTTCATCAAAATTACAGATCCATTTAAACATTTCAATTTTTAAATTTCAAATACAAACTACGAGACAAAATGAATATTGTTATTCAAGCAAGACCTGAATCTGAATGAAACTATTCAAAACTATTTTAATAAAATACTTTCTAATAATATAGATAAATCTATTTTTAGAATACTTCCTTGGATAATTACATAAACCTCAATGCTGAGTTACTTTTATATTTATTACCAACTTTACTGTATAATAGATAATAAGAGTAAAAAATATGCAGTTCAAAATTTATTCTTAATTTAGCATTTATAAAACCTTTTCCAAATTAAGCCCATCCAATACAGAATCTATCATAAATGCATTTCCTAGCATCATCAGAAAGAAAATTTTGTATCACATATTTATATATTTATAAATTTTTCTACTGTACTTAAGGATGGTCCAACTTATTTTATTAATAATATAGTTTATTTTTAATATTTGTTGCAACTTAAATCATTAGAGAATATATGGCTTTCAGAAGACATTAAATTAAAATAAGAATACTAAATGAGTGTTGTAGGTTTTATGAAGCACTTTCAAGCCTGTCTAAATTAATAAAATATTAAGTGAATTAATACTACAAAAGAAACTTTTATCACTGATAATTTAAAATATTAATGTGAATACTTAACAGGTCAAGACTTTTACATTAATCAAAGACACATTATAATAACAGTCAGAATGAACATTCTCCTATCAGTAAAGTTTTCATGTCAGTAATTTCTCCCATTTTTTCCCTGATAAGCATAAAAGAATGTTTCTCTCCTTGAATTCCTGAGGAACAAAAAGTAATCTGTTCTTCTTGAGATAGGGTGGTATTAACTGCTTCTCTGAACAGAACATTGGGCATAATACGTTTCCTTAACAGTTTTGTCAAGTAAGCAGTTAGTTAGGAGGGGTGAATTCTCACAGATAGTCTGGCTTCTTGTGCCTCATGGCTGTATAGCCCAGTGAATCTTGAGTGTTTTATGTGTATGGAGGCTGGGGGTAGGAGGTTAACAGCTAGGCTTTCAATAATAAATAATTTTATATTTTAGGCCGGGTGCAGTGGCTCGCCCCTGTAATCCCAGCACTTTGGGAGGCCGAGGCGGGTGGATCATGAGGTCAAGAGATTGAGACCATCCCGGCCAACGTGGTGAAACCCCGTCTCTACTGAAAATACAAAAATTAGCTGGGCGTGGTGGCACGCACCTGTAGCCCCAGCTACTCAGGAGGCTGAGGCAGGAGAATTGCTTGAATCCGGGACCGGGAGGCAGAGGTTGCAGTGAGCCGAGATCGCGCCACTGCACTCCAGTCTGCCAATAGAGCGAGACTCCGTCTCAAAAAAAATAATGAATAATTTGACATATTAAAAACTCACAATTTTTAAGCTTCCAAATTTGATTCAGAATTCAGTTAGTGTTATTAAAAATAAATCCTTCACTAAAGAAGTTTCCCCCCTTTTCCTTGTTTTTTAGTTGTAAAATTTTTCTCCTGCCTTCTCATTTTATGCTAAAAGTTGCAAGACTTAAATGGAATGTTCACAAACCAGATCTATTAACATCATGAGGAGCGTAATGTGTCCACTGGCTAAGCACAACAGAAATGTACACATTCTGTATCGCTGAATAAAGGTGAGGAAGAGTCTATACCTGACCTTTGTTAAAGAACAAATACATAGCTCTCTGTCCAGGACCCTCAGGAGTGATTAGTTACAGTCTACAGAGAATTAAAAGGAAGTTGGTTCCCCTTCCCATTGTAGCCTGATCTCTGGCATCTTTTGCCTCTGGTGCAGAGTTCAAAAGTACTCACAAGATGAATCCAGGACCAGCAACACATTTAGGAAATATTAGTCACGTGAGAATCTGGAGTCAAATAACTCCTTGAAAGTGGTTTAGCAATTCCCTGCAATAGTTAATGGAAAGACTACATGAAGGTGCAAGGAAAGAAGTCAGGCTGTCACTCACCATTCACCTGGAGTTGAGGTGTCCCAAGCAGAGGAACCACAATAGAAAGGAAGAAACAACTTGCCTTCAGCACCAGATACAGACAGACTCAACGACTTCAAGGAAAAGCCCAACAGAAAGAATCAATACTGACTCAAAGATGGTAACTAGAGTGTGAGAAAAGACATGGGGTTATGCTGTATAGCAAATAACAAAGGTAAGGACGAGTTGCCCTGGGCATGGCTGTCGGGTTGAGGGAAGAGAAGAAGGAGCAAGAAGGCAGAACTCAGACATTAGCATAGAACAATGCCTGGGTTGCCTGATAAATGAAATCGGGAAGCCAAAGGCATTTTTTATACTAGAACAAATCAACCCTAAAGAACAAAGAGAGGAAGAGAAGTTCAATGTATGCCCCCACTTGCTTGGTTATGAGAGACAATCACTGGCAGGTTGCTGTGACACAGTTATGGGCCTAAAGCTCAGTAAGGTAGATAGATTCAGACTCTGGTAGTGGTGCTCAGACAGTGACAAAGCGTTTTTCATTTCAATTAGAAGATAGAATACAAAATTGTGGCGTCAAAAGGAATCTTACAGTTCACTGGTCTACCACTCTAATTTTTCAAAAAAAGTAGAGTAAAGCTCAAGAAGAAATGACTGGCTATGGTTTAATAAAGCTACTTACTAGCAAAACTATTTAAGGTATTCATGATTTCGGCCTAGTGCTTTTAGGGAAATTATTGTAGCTCAGCAGGGGAAAGGTATTTCAGTGCTGACTGTATTTACATCTTTCCTTTCTACATTCAATAAATACCCATTGAATAAGTACCAGGAAATAGGATAGATCCTGGTATATTTCCTGGGAAACTGCAGAAGATACATGTAGTAGTGGCAGCAAGCTTGACAAAACGCAAAATATTGAGATCAGACAATTAAAATTATAAAACACGAAGTACCCATTACGAGATTAGGAGGAACTTTTGATATTAAAATTGGAACAGTGTGTACAAATATCAGATACCAAAAGAATCATTGGCTAACAAAAACAAAAGAGGGCGAAGGACAGAAAAGGGGACCTGAGTCATTTACTCAAGCTTTTGGAACTTTTGCAATACAGAACAAAAGATGGGTTGATCAAAGCGCTGCAGCTTGCAAATAGTCCTCTGTGGGTCACTCTTTCTCTATCTCAACAAGAATTAGGGGGAAAAGAAAAGAAATGTACATTCTCTGCAAAAACTGTATTTCTTAGAAGTCAGAAACAGCTGACAGTTTTCATTTATTGCAAGAGAACATTTATTCTTATGATAAGGTTTTCTGGAGGCAAAACATTTAGTGAGCACACATATCCAGCTATTTCAGGATGTCTAGATTTAAATGAGTTTGAGAAAAGGTATGAGTGACAATTGGGAAACAAAAATAAAAGCAGCTTCCACAAAGAGTAAAACTAACTTTTAAAAAATGAGGGTCATCAGGGTTTTTGTTAAGATGATGTTTACAGGCAAACTAAAAAATCTTTTCCATTTTTAAACTTCTGCTCGGATATAGTCACATTCATGCAAAGTATCATTCCTAAAGATATGGTGAACATATTAAACAAAAATCTAGTAATTTTAAAGAACTATAGGAGCCAGAGAGAGAGAATACTTACATTCTGTTAGTGGGAGCATAAAATGTAACAAGTTCTATGGAAATCCACGTGGCATTATCTTGTGGAATTTCAGGTTGGGCATATCCTATCACCTAACAATTCAACTCCTGAACATATATCCTGAAGAAGTAATATGTACATAAAGAGGGCATATACAGGACTCAAGAACTTTTCCTCTGCTGCTTTATTTCCAATGACAAAAATAAAAGAAAAGAAAAAGAAAAAGAAAGAGGCCAGGCGCAGTGGCTCACACTTGTAAGCCCAGCATTTTGGGAGGCCGAGGCCGGTGGATCACAAGGTCAGGAGATCGAGACCATCCTGGCTAACACGGTGAAACCTCGTCTCTACTAAAAATACAAAAAATTAGCTGGGCACAGTGGCAGGTGCCTGTAGTCCCAACTACTTGGGAGACTGAGGCAGGAGGATGGCGTGAACCCGGGAGGCAGAGCTTGCAGTGAGCCGAGATGGCATCACTGCACTCCAGCCTGGGCGAGAGCGTGAGGCTCCATCTCAAAAAAAAAAAAGGAAAAAAAAGAGAAAGAAAGAAAAACAGCTAAATAGCCATTAAAAGAAAGTAAATAAACTATGGTATTTTCATACAATAAAAGATTATACATATATGACAATAAATGAATTACAAAGACAAGCAGGAATGAGTCAAATACGATGTTGAGCAGGAAAAATAGTTGTTGCAGAAGAAAACATGTAGTATGTATTATTTATATAAAATTTAAAAACAGGCAAAATTTAATGTAGGGGGTACATAAGTATGAGAAAAACGACCAAGAAAAACACAGAAGTAATAAACTCAACATTAAGGATTGTGATGAGGGGGTAAAGAGAGGCAATGGAATCTGGGTGGGGCACACTGTGGGCTACAAAGAAACTGGTAATGTTCTATTCTTAAACTAGTGGTAGGTTCTCAGTTATTCGTGTTAATGTTATTCTTTGTACCTTATCTACATAGTATAAATATTTTTGTGTAGGGTAGCAAAAAAAATTATCATAGTTTAGATTCATCATGATTCTAAAGATATGACTGCAGAATTATAAACACAGACAATGGTAGAGAAGGTAGCATAATAGGGTGCTGACTATAGCCACAAACTTATTTCTCAAGTTAATAAAATTTTTTGTTTAAAGGCACATATTCAGCTTGCAGACCATAGGGACATACAGAGAGTCTAATTCACCATTTCTAATATTTAATTCAGTATTGTGACATTATACCTGTTATTACTGTGAAACACAGTTTTCTAATGTTTTATTAGCAGAAGGTACAAAGGGTCATTAATATCCATGCACAATAAATATTCTTGTATCTATAGCATTTTCTGTATATACAAACATTCTTGTATATATAGCATTCTTACTTTTAAAAAGCTCTCAGAAATAACATATTTATTTAACAAACAATTTTAAAGGTATTTTTAAGTATCCGCGAGTAGCAAGTACCTAGCACGTACTCAGGACTCTTTGAGGTAAATATTTCCGGTGTTAGTTTACACATGTGGAAATTGAGATTCAGCATTGTGAAGTAGATTGCCCAACGTTTAAAAGCTAGTACAGCTGGGATTCAAACCATATCCAACTCTGATATCCAAACGTGAAAAGCATGCATCTACTAGCTAGGACCGTCTAAAAATACAACAGCAAAAATAAATTTCTAATGCAAAAAAAAAAAAAAAAAAACCCAGACTTGTTATATTTCAGCTTACTATTTCAGTTTATGTTATTCAGAATGCATCCCTGAACCATGTTCTAATGGTCTGTATCAATTTTATGTCACAGTACTTCTTTATTACTTCATATAATCACAATTTACACTTAAACCCTAAAAATTCTAAACTGGCAGCGGATACCAATTATGTTTATGGAAAGTCTCAACTTGGCTGTACTTCTTTTCATAACTGGAATTTCTCTAAGACTGGAAGTAAAGTTAGCTGTTGGGAGACTGAAACTTAGCACTTTCATTTCATTACCCGCCACCGTCAGGGATTCACTCACAGGGAAGCAAAAAGGCTTGCCAAGCCCCACAGAAATTACTCACTTCCACTCTCTCTTTCCTCATCTCTCTTCCAAATGTACTTCAAAACCTAATTTTAAACTCATGCAGGAAATCTGATTAATACCACTTGGCTTTCTCTACTCCATTAACCCTAGGCCCCATCAGCACACATAAAACACAATTCGTTTATATGATTATCTGTCAGCTTTTTAATTTGTCATTGTTTTTTTCATTTGCATGTTTGTCTAGCCTGCAAGAACCACTGACAAGAGTTTACAAATTTATTTCTTCTGTCCTGTGTCCTAACAAATTCTTCTTCCCCAAAAGGACCACCAACTATGCTGCGTGAACAGTAGTCACTTAACAAATGCTGAATGACTTACTACAGTGGAACAATTCGCCTCTGGTATTTCTCAATATCCCAGTGAATCCTCCACATCTATAACATGCTGGAGATGATACCAGGTACTGCTAGAGGCTTGGGGTCTTCCTGAGGGTGCCTGGGACAAGAAAAACACAGAGACCAGAGACAGTCAGGAGAAACACAGAGAGAGGAAACATGGAAATAAACAGAGGACAGAAATAAAGAGTTGAGAGGAGCAAAAGAGTCAGAAGTTAATGGAGAGATTAAGCAGCCAGAGAAATCACAGACAGGGAGGAAGCTGGCAATCTGAACTTGGGTTTTGGTTTTGAAACCACATTTCTGGTTCTATTTACTCATGTAATAGGTGCTCTCATGTTACTAAATCTGTGATACCGTCAACCATTTTGAAGTTATTGCCATGGTTTTTCTGAGCTTGTAACTTTACCTATTAAAATTCATCTTCACAGGGTTTCATCTTTGGAGATACATCTACACACACAATCCTCCAAACAACCCAGCTATAAATAAGGAAGTATTTTTCCCAGTTTAGAAAATGAAGGTCAGAGAGGTAATGTGACTTGCCCAAGACACAAGCAAATGAATGATAATCGAGGCCCCCAAATTTTCTGATTCCAAAATCCACTGCTTTTTCTGGTATCCTATATTGTCCCTAGTAGAATATTAAAGAAATCCAAACTGGTTTTGTAAAATAAAATTCAAATAAACATAATTAAGGATAAAATTTTTCTATCTTATGGGACACTGAATTACTCACACTACTCACTAGGATATTTTTAAGATATACCATAAAAAAATCTGCATAAAAATATCAGAATGATAAAAAAATTAAGAACAGAAATGAAATTAAGTGAACAGTCACTTGACAAAAATTTTTAAAAAGGGCTAGAATTAGTTTATTTGCTTCTACAACTTTGTAATTTCAGTCTTAATGATTCAACACATTTCAGCTGACTGGAAAGATAAACTGATGTTCTGCATTTCAATGAATTCTTAGAGCTAAGCACTAGTAAAGAACCGGTGCTCAAAACTACTTGTTCTCTCAAATGTCTCACCTAAAGTCTACACTGCAATCCAATTTCAGGGTACTTCATAGGGTAGAAATTATAAAATGTATTGCTCTTTGTATGCACGAGTATTCTCTTTTGAGGGGCACTTAAACTCTTCTAAATAATCATGCCTTTTTAGTAACATTCAATGGAATTGCCAGAAAAGCTCCTTTGATAAAAGTATAAGCATGTTATTGGATTTTACAGCAAAATAAGACAATAAGAACACAAAGAAATTTCTATTCAACTGTGTATCAATATATTTTCCATCATGTTCAGCAATTTTTAAACCAGAAATTTTCAAATAAGGTCTAAAGTACAGTACTGCTCTGCCCTCTAGTGACTGGATAGGTTTTGTGAGCTACATGCTTTTTTTTTTTTTTTTTTTTTTAATGCTTTTTGCACAATACTTACGATTTAAAAAAATTACATGATGGCTTCTTTTTCATCATTTAAGAAGTGAACAAAAAGTACTGGTCAACTTTTAAAATATGAGTGGTATGAACACAATGCAGGAAAGAGACTAAAGTTGAAGAATTTCTTTTCATCAGGCCACCCAAGTATTGCAAACCAGAAAAAAATTTTAATATAAACTGTTGCAATCCTTACATCTTTATGCAATTTATTTGGAAAAGTCAAATAATTCCATTACAAATATATTTGTTAAAAACCTTATAAATTTAACTTATAAATTCCAAATTAGTCAATTATATTATTTCAGAGTCTGAGATATCTAGATGAGTGATACTATATATATCACACACAGATGAACAATTTTCTACTAATTATAAAAGAGCAAAAATGCTTAATACAAAGCTATACTGAACATAATTTACGGTTAATTGCTCAAGTGGTACTTGAGGATTTTCCTGAACCTCAGTGTCATCATTAGAAAACTCACTATCTCTTCACTGCTATGTGTGGAAACATTAATCAAGGATGCCAGTTAAGACAGAGCTATTACATAGAGATTCACCCTACTACTTCAACGAAGGGAATCTGTCATATTATACGTCCCTCTTAATTTATCCTGCCATAAACCTCTTGCTAGGAACTGATGCATTTCTAGAACAGCATTTCTAGTCTCACTAAACCCAGGGTACCACTTCTGTATCTACACACTTACGTTAAAAATAAACAGTGCATTCATGCACATGAATGTAAAAGGATACCCAAACATGTGAGGATAATCTACAGGCAGTGTGGTGGTGTGGTTAGGAGAACAAACCCTGCAGCCAGACAGCCTGAGTTTGAATTCCAGCTTTGCCACTTATTAGCAGCGTAACCTTGGGCAGATAATTTCACCTCTCTGTTCTTCAGTTTCCCCATCTAAAAAATGAGAAGAAAAAGAAGCACCTACCAGTACTAAGTAATGGGTTATATTTTGATAGGTATTTGGGTTACACAGGTGTATGCATTTATCAAAATTCAGAAAATGTACTTTTAAGATGTATGCTACCAATGAATGTAGACTTACATCAAAAAATTATACATAAATATTGAACTCTAGTTAATATAAATATTATATAATATAAATGCTGAAGCATTTAGGGAGCTGTAGTGATATCTATATGTTCAGATGCATCAAAAATTAAGTTGAATTGATGAGGAATAGAGAGATGAAAAGATGACAGATATGTAATAAAATAAATATAATAAAATGTTAACGGCCAAATCTAGGTGGAGAGTATGTGAGTTTCATAATAAAATGTTGGGGGAAAATATGCCTACCTCTCATCAGACTGATGTGAAGATTAAATATATATAATACTATTAAATATAAAGAAGAATGCCTGACTTAATAACGGCATTTGACAATATATTTATTTAAACAAATGGAAAGTAGTGATCTATTCTTTCAAGTTGGTAGAAAAGGGGAGGAAAGTAATAAGGCACTGAATTCCCAAACTGGGGTCAGTAGTTGCCATCAAAGGTGTTACAGGTCAAATTTCAGATACATCATAAAACTGCACAGACTATGCAAAGAATATAGTCTTTGAAAGCAAGAATGAGCTGGATTTGAATCTCAGGTCTGTTTTTAACAAGTCAAGAAGCTCAGACAAGCTATTTAAATGTTCTGAGACTCAGTTCTCTCTTGTATAAGATGGGAATAATGACACCTACATTTAAGGCTCACTGTGAAGACAAGGAAGAAAAATACACACACACACACACAAACAAAGAAATTAGCACACAAAAGACAAATAACAGCTGTAGTTTTTAATCATAATCATCATTACTACCTAGGGCAAGTCTTGTTTATCTTTACCACCATTCTCTGAAGATGAAAACCAAAGTGGCTATGTATCTGTTTCTTAAGACTAGGAACTGCATATGCAGTTGGCCCAAATACTCCAAAGGGCTTTCTAAAGGATCTTTATTAAAAGAGTAGGCCTTATTTTAAGTTTCACTAAGTGTGAAAGAAGAGTCGACAATGACAGGAAATTTATTATTCATTCCTCTGTAATGCCAATTATAATAAATATAAGACTTATGAGTAAGGCATTTGAAAGTATTTGTTTGCTGATGGCATTTTAAAGAAAATCACTTCAGTGCATTTGAGGAAATGATATTAATACCTGGATGAGCTTTGATTTAAAATAGTCTAAGGTAACATATTTAAAGAATATTACAACTACATTTATAGAAGATGAGTTCTATGCTCCGAGGGAGAGGATTTGTAAATCATTATGGATTACTCAACGAAGACAGTGACTCAACACACAGTTTCAGCTAAAAAGAAAATCAAGAACTTGGCACTCAAAGAAGGAATATTGGAAAGATTATACAACATGGCTACTTCTTTGACTGCTCTATAAAACTGCTTTCTCCAAAGGTTATTCACCCCTGGATTACTAACTCAAGGAACTTTTTTCAGGCATTTAGATATCCCTAAATTTTCAATACTGTCAATCTTGAAAGTCTTCCCATCTTGCACAGCACTATTCTGCTTTTCCCACCACAGATCTGATTGGATTTCTTTCCTTTAGACTTCCCTTAACAAAGAATGGGTATTTTCAACAATTCCACTTTAGGCATATTATCTTTCACCAATTTTCAAAGTTTCAGCTCTTACCTCTCTCTTCTATTAAACCTATGTTCAGTCTGAATCTCTACCAAACCTCATCTCAAATTTATAACTACATCCTAAATATAATGCCATGGATATCCTGTGTGTTCAAATCCAATCCATCCCAAACTTCACCTCCCCCTCCCACAAATCAGTAATACTAGTAGCTCCTTACTTCTGATGGCAATATTAGCACTCTTGTGAACACCCACACTTAAATTAAAAACCTATCTTTGACTTTCTTTTAAATACCCTCCATTGCCTCCTAACCTCTCTGTCCCTCTACATCCCCAAAATGAGTTCAGTCTATTGTCAAGTTCTGTAGATTAATAGTTTCTAAATTGATTCAGGTGACAGATACCTAGACTTCATATTCAAGAAACACAGTGAAAGCTAAATTTACGATAACTAAACACACAAAACAGAGGCTAAATAGTAGTAGGAATCAAGTGTTTTAGAAAATTGTCATTGAAGGAATCCTTAAAACTGAGTATCCATTAACTTTTGCCCCGTAAATGGGAAAGACTAGTTCTGTAACTTGGAATACTTCAATCTAAAATATTTCAAGATCCAGAGTATAACCTTCATAATGTCTCTCATAATAGCCCCTTTTACAACTGTCAACACACTACAGAAGAATGAATGTTTTCTTACCTAGGATAATAGTAAAGCCCCCTAAACCAGTCTTTCCAATGTCTACCTTTTTTTCCTTCTGTTCCATCTCATTTATATCCATTGCTCAGAAGTTTTCAGTGGCCCATATGCCTTTTGAGGGGAAAAAAAAGTAAACTCACCTTAACATTCAAGACCCTCTTTACATCTCTGCCTTCACACCAAAGTTTCCCACCGTAACTTTACATGTATCCCATCCCACTGGCCCAAGTAGTCTATTCACCTTTCCATACTTCTGTTATTTCCTCTTCTTTGTGAAGTCTTCCCTGATATCCTTAAGTGGGGTTTAAGGTCTTCCTCAGAACTTGAAGTTTATTTGTATATCTCCCTCTTTTGTGCCTAGACATTGCCTTATATTACCACATCCTGATCTTGACAGTGTGTAACGCACTGCCTTGCACATGATAATTAGTAAATATTTGTTAGCTATACAGAGGAATAGAAAATACATTATTTATCTTTAAAGAAAACATTTTTCCAGTGAGACCACTATACGTTGTTCAGGTTCTAAAAAGAAACAGAACAGAGCAGGAGAAAGATTAAAGAGGGATAACGATCCAGAGCACAAACTCTCACAAGCAGTCTGGAAAGGTTTAGATTTCTCAATATATATTAATAATTTTAAAAGTATACAATTAAAGTCTATAAAATCCATGGTGGTTATGGTTTGGATGTTTACATACTCAACAAGGAAAAGGGAAAATTGCTATAAAAGAACCACAAACACCTAACACATACACACTAAATAAGAAGCAGCTTTTAGAAGGAACCAAAGTATTTCATAGATAGTACTAAAATACCTTGAAAACAAGTTTAGATATATTAATTGTTGAGAGATATTCAAAATTAATACAAAATAGCTATTGATACACGGGACAAAGACCAAGCTGTACTGGCTTTTATGCTTATGTGCATGAAAATTATTAGAAAATAAATACTTTCACAGAACATTTCTGAAGATAGAGAAAAAATATTTTTTTCTCTTGGACCAATTATGAAATGTTAAACCACTAACTTGAAATGAAGGAAAATTTTGCATCTCTTTTCAAGTTTATGAATTAAATAACAGAATAAGATCATGGTTGAATGAGCTATTTAAATTTTTTAAATATTTATATAGTTATCAGTGTGTAATATTTTTAAAAAATAGCACTTAGCTGGACATGGTGGCTCACGCCTGTAATCCCAGCACTTTGGAAGGCCAAGATGGGCGGATCACGAGGTCAGGAGATCGAGACCATCCTGGCTAACACGGTGAAACCCCATCTCCACTAAAAATACAAAAAATTAGCCGGGCATGGTGGTGGGCGCCTGTAGTCCCAGCTACTTGGGAGGCTGAGGCAGGAGAATGGCGCGAATCCGGGAGGTGGAGCTTGCAGTGAGCTGAGATTGTGTCACTGCATTCCAGCCTGGGGGACAGAGCAAGACTCCGTCTCAAAAAAAAAAAAAATAAAATAAATTTAAAGAAACTTAGCCAGGTGTGGTGGCACACGCCTGAAGTCCTGGCTATTGGGAGGCTAAGGCAGAAGGATCACTTGAGCCCAGTAGTTCAAGTCTGTAGTGAGCTCTGATGAAACTACTGCACTCCAGCTTGGGAAACAGAATGAGCCCTTATCTCTTAAAAAAAAAAAAAAAAAAAAAAATTAATTATCATACTTTAAGTTCCCATACTTAGTGAATTCTCATTAAGAATCATACGATATCTCCTTGTTTTGTTCAAATAATTATAGTCTTTGAAGAAAATTATCTAGACTATATAAATTTGTTCTTATGCTTAAAAAATTGACATAGTTTGGGCTGATAATCTTGTTAATACTAATAGCAGGTAGCAATAATATTCTTAAATAACTATAATCCACTGAATGACAAATGACTTATTTCCTAGTATTTTCATACGTTTGGGCTTTACTAAAATTGCAAAATTGGGGGAGGTACAATTAAAATAAAATCAAACTTCTATCACTTAGAATTGTACAGAAAATATTTTAAGAAATCCAACAATAAAAGTAAATGTTAATTTATTCTTTCCTAATGAAATCGTCAGGAAAGCAAGTCCATCTTGTATTCAATAAAGATTTTCCCAACATAGTAAAAATGTACAGTTTGAAGCCGGACATTTCTCTTGCTGTGAATAGAGATAGCAATAAACATGAAATTAAATTTCAAGGACCAGTTAAGAAGCAAAAAAAGTTATAGATCATTTTTTACTTGCTGCCTATTTTAAGAACACATTTCCTTAATAGTGCCTGCCATATGCTGGGTTGACATTATACCCTCTAGTACCTTTAATCCTCTAACAACTTTACATGGCAGGTATTTGCCCCATTTCACATAAAGCTAAGTAACTTTACCACATCCCAGTTACGGTAAACAGCTGAGTTAGTTTAGTCTTGAGTCTATCTGACTCCACAGCCCATGTTTCTAAGAGATCACCCTACAGTCAAAAACAAACAAACAAACAAAAACAAAACAAAACAAAAACATATTTTTTAAGTGATCCATTTAGATCTGTCTCCTATAAGGAAACGCTTAAGTTTCTGCCTACCCATATTAATATCAGGAATCAATAGTGAGCATTTTGGAGCTGACAATCTAGAGGTAAGAATCAAGATCTTTATAAGTATTCGAAAGTAAAAGTTCTAAAATATTTTTTCAGAGGCACATAATAAACTCCAATGTATAAAATATTCTATTATAGCAGAAAGCCAGTAAAAAAAAAATCTATAATTTTGCTGATTAGGGAAAAACTCATAAAAAGAGACATGATTGAAACACTTCTACTATCAATAAGATATAATAGCCTTATTAGAAAGATATATCTTTTGTTCTCTAAAAAGTGAAACTCTAGGTGAATAATAAAGACAGGCAACACCCAGCATTTTAACAGGAACTAAACTTTCAAACCTGAAAACTTTATGATTTATTTAAATGTTCACTTCACCAAATGAATTGAAAGATGATCTGTATGCTTCTGTCCTTCCAAATGGCCTGACAAAATGATTGCTATAAAAAGAGGTTTGGTATTTAAGGGGATTGACAATAGCTGCTGACTTCAAATTTTTCTTCATTAACTTTTATAATACACCTATTTAATGATTTGGTAACTCTAACAATGCTGAAAACATAGTGGTATTCAAAAACTCTATTGAAGGCATGGACGGAGTTTCATGTCCATCCAGGTGCTACCTGCATGGACAGGAGGGTATATACTACTCTGCACATGGATACATCTCACATTTGATAGGTGTTAATTTTTCTCTTATTTGGCAATTCTTCAGTATAATTATTGTGGCACAACTTATTAGGACAGTGCTCACCACATAAACAGTAGGTTGCTAAGCCCCTTTGGAAGCCAGTTCCTCCACATCTGGCTGGCTCTCTCAGAAACCAGGGCATTCTAAGTGCCTATGGTAATGTTCGATACTCTAAAACAGAACATTTCTGTCATAAGGAGACGCTTGGTAATAAATTGCTTTACGGTAAATGTTAAGAACACTGAAACAATTAGATAACTCATCCGTTTTATAAGAATAGTAATATAGCCACAGCAGAGACAGAACAACTGCAAATTAAGCAGGTTATACAAGATAATACAAAACAAACACAATATTCTTGTCTATCAGCTTCATAGATCAATTTGAATATAGCAATATCCTAAAAATACATCCCAGAACAAAACACCTAAATGTTGACTTCAGTCAACCTTTCTGGTACACATTAACTGAAGCCAGGTATCACATTGCATCTCTTAAAGCCCAACATGAACCAAAGTGCCTGCCTTAAATCTCACAACCTTCACATGTACTCCACTCACAGGGTCGCTGATGAAGTGTTGGAAAAGCACTTGTTAGAAGACTAATAAATCTTAACAAACACCTGCTGATTCAATGTAAGCTACAAATGAGCCAACAGGTATAGAGAAATTTTTTGTGGTTGCATTTTAAGCTCTCAGCCCACTAATATTTATTGATTATAAAACTAATGGCAAACTTGAAGGCACAAAGAGACCGTAATTTGGAAGAACACTCCTCTCCCTGAACGAAGTCTGGGAAAAATTTCCATGTAGACCAGGAGATGCTTATCAACACCAAGTTCAGTGGAATATAGGTTAATGAAATGTGAATTCCTGTAATACGAATTCATCACGTTTACTGAGCAACTTCTATGTACCAGATGCTATTTCTAAATTTTGGGAATACAGACATGCACAAAATAGACTTTCTAGTAAACTTTCTAGCATAAACAAGTCCTGTAGCATCTTGAAGAGGTTCTATGAAAGAATTACATGTATACATATATACATATGTTTATGTGTTTATATAGAATATCCAGTAAATGAATATTTTACACTAAAATATATGAAGATCCTAGGAGAAATGTTATGAGCAAGTTCCCCGCCTTAGATCCATTTATTTTCCTAGGAAAACACACTTCTCTATAATAGAGATCAGAGGGAATACAGACTTCAATATAAAAATACTTAATTGATCCAACACCTTTCAGAGTAGCATTAAATGCAGGAAGCCATGCCTGAATATATTCATACTGTCCTCAACTAGTGAATTTCACAATCATTAGATTGATCTTAATGTTAAGAAGAAATACACAGGTAAAATTCCTTATATACAAGGTTTTTGAGTTTGAGTCATTTCATAAATAGCTTTTAGGGAAGACTGAAATCAAAAGTGGACAAAACAATTACACTGACAAACTGATTAAAATTATATCACTGCTGAATAGCATATCCTTTAGTCTATAAGTACACAGAAAAACTGGTAAATTTTACAAATGAATTTAAAATTATTTTTACATAAAAGTATTTGTCTAAAAGGTTTGTTTCCTTTTTTGATTACATTTTTTAGACAAATGCCAAATCACTAGAAACTAAAATTATTCTAGTGATGTAGAACACACAGAAACACATATGTACACACAGACAAAAATCGTCCAAAAAAGAAACAAAGTTCATTTGAGCCTATATCAATATCCCACAAGTTAATGCACTATTTACTCAGCACTAATCCCAAGCACCCATCAACTGACTTACCTAATAGAAAAAGAACTGCAAATTAAACTAAGCAGGTTATAAAAGACTATATAATAGAAAGAAGTACTATACAGACATTGCACTTAGGTGTCCAAGGGAGAGAATTCAGTCATGGGTTCTTAGTTTCTGTTTCTGGTTGAACCAGTAAAGCCCCTTCCTCAGCCCTCTTTTCTGCTTACTAGAGACAGAAACTAAAAACCATGGCTACAGGCTGCTAAAAGCCTAAAACAAAACAAAATAACAACAACAACAACAAAATAAGGCAGGTTGAGAAATTCAAGCATCCATTACCTAATTTAGAAGCTGATGTCAGAGAAAAAAGGGGAAAAAAGAAAGAAGGCAGGTAAGGAGACAGGACAATAATTAAGTAGATCTATCAGACTTAGGACTCCCTGACTTCTGTTGGCATTATTTCAAATACACAATCTTTTTTTTTTCTGTTTACCAAAAATCTTAAGTATATGCCATTTCCTTGTTTGCATTCTCAACTGATTCACAAAGTAAAAGAATATTGCCTTACAAAATGTGAATTGGCTTGATAAAGTAAACAGAAACAGGTATAACCCAAAAGAGTAATTATCTTGTTCAACTTAATTTTCAAATACATTTCTAGTATTCCTAGATAACAATAAATACACATGGAAGTCAATTTTTATAATGATGTAATTCCTCCATCATATAAATCACTTGAATTTTCAAGTTCTTAGACTTAATTCCTTCACTTGTAAGAACCTTATTTTCATGGATGGTGACTTCAAAGTGGAAGAAACAGGAATTCAGTAATTTCAAACGTCTCCCTCCTCAAAAGTATCAAAGATATTTTTAGAATCTTAGAAGACTGTTAACGAACCAGATTATCTTGTTTATAGACTAAATCACGTAGAAAGTATTTTTTAAAACACTTTTACTTCATTCTTTGGTAAAGAAAAACAAAAACCTATGTTATAGATGAAATTGTGTCCCGCTCCAAATTCATATGTTGAAGCCCCAGTCCCCAATGTGATGGGACAGGGCCTACAAAGAGGAAATAAAAGTTAAGCAAGGTCATATGGGTGGGGCCCTAATCCCAAAGAACTGATGTACTTATGAGAAGAGGAAGAGACACTAGAGCTCGCTGCCTACACAGAGGAAAGGCCATGTAAGGACATAGCAAAAAGGCAGCCCTTTCTGGTGGTACAAGCCAGGAAGACAGACCTCACTAGAAACTGACTTTTCCGGCATCTTAATCACTGACTTCTAGCCTCCAGAACTTTCAACTTAAAATAAATGTCTGTTGTTTAAACCACCCAGTCTGACACTTGTTTTTTATGTGTTACAGCAACACAAGCAAACTAATACAACCTCTAAAGATGCAGAGTTTATATTTTTTGAGGTGGTTTTACTCTACCAATAATCCAGGTGAATAAGCAACTAATAGTTACAAAAATACTCCATTTATAAAGAGAACAGCCTGGAACAATTTGAAGACTAATCCAGGCCCAAAAAAACCATTTTTATATACATGTGCTATTTTAAAATTAAACAAAGTAGTCATTTTAGAAAAAGCATAAGGCTTTGAATCATAAAAGATATTACTATGTTGTACTTGATTCTGAAAGTACAAGGGGACAACGTCAATAGAGAAGTTCTTTAAGGCAGTGGTCCCCATGTTTTTTTTTTAGCACCAGGGACCAGTTTCATGGAAGACAATTTTTCCACGAATGGTAGGGGAGGTGGGGGGGATGGTTTGGGCATGAAACTGTTCCACCTCAGATCATCAGGCATTAGATTCTCATAAGGAGCATGCAACCTAGATCCCTCATATATGCAGTCCACAGTAGGGTTCAGGTTCCTATGAGAATCTAATGCCGCTGCTGATCTGACAGGAGGCAGAGCTCAGGTGGTGCTCAGCTCCTGCTGTGCAACCTGGTTCCTAACAGGCCATGGACCAGTACCAGTCCGAGGCCCAGGAAGTCGGGGACCCCTGCTTTAAGGAGTCTAAATTAATTAAACCTTCACACTGGGAACAGCACCATAAAAATCTTAAAATAGAAATGTCTATTTCTTCTGAAACCAAACAGTATTTCCTCTATATGAGGAAAAAAATTTCAGTAGCACCATTTTCTGTTCTTGTACCTTGCCTAAAGATTATATAAAATTTGATACTTTTTGCAACTTAATGCTGACCTTATTAATATACAGAGTAAAAGCCATAAAGTATATGAACTTTTGACCATCACTCTGTCCTTGGGACTTCCAAATTCCCAGTGGCAAGAAGCAAATTCCCAGTGGCAAGAAGTTAATTATTAGATTATGCGGTAACGAATATTTCTACAGGACTCACTCTTTCTCTCAGCAGTAAGGATAAAGCCACTTCCAATTTCCGGTAGAAGTAAAGAAGAATGCCTAAGTTCTTATGCATTCAGGACAATTTTTTAAAAACCCTTGGCAGGTGTGTGGACATATGTGTTTAAAAACAAACACATTTTAGATATGCACTGTCGGATGTCTATCAGAGGTATGGTACAGGGTATCAAGATTCTTGAACTTTGATCACATCTTTCTTTTTCAAACTACTACTTCTTGAGTGCTTCTATGTGCCAGGGACTCTTTTCAGGCAATTAACCCAATTATCTCATTTAATTCTCACAATCCTACAAGGTAGAGATCATTAGCCCTATACTACAATGAGAAAACAACATTTCAGAGAGGTCAAATATAATCACCCAAATGCTTTCAATTAAAAAGTGCCAAAACTAGGATTTATCTGAATCCAAAACCCATGTTTTGCTATAGTGTCTTGCCTTCTAACCTTATTTTTTTTTAAGATATGCAGATGTTGATATAGTTTGGCTCTGTGTCCCAACCCAAATCTCATCTTAAATCGTACTAATCCCCATGTCATGAGACGGACCTGGTGGGAGGTAACTGAATCATGGGGGTGGGTTTGCTTCCATGCCATTCTTGTAATGGTGATTAAGTCTCAAGAGATCAGATGGTTTTATAAAGGGGAGTCCCCGTGCACGTGCTCTCCTGCCTGCTGCCACGTAAGACGTGCCTTTCCTCTTCCTTCACCTTCTGCCATGATTGTGAGGCCTCCCAGCCATGTGAAACGGTGAGTCCATTAAACCTCTTTCCTTTATAAATTACCCAGTCTTGGGTATGTCTTTATTAGCAGCATAAGAACAGACTAATACAGATGTCTAAGCATGTTCCTTACTCCCAATCTTAAGGAACTATAAACTATCACAAAGCATTGTTTATATACTATTGGATCTTTAAATCAATCATCTTAATCCACACAAGTTTGATAATAATGTTTTTTCATATTGTGAGATGAATAAAACCACTATTGGCTGAGGAGTTCTATGTGCTAACAATTTTCTAGAAGATTCAAGAGATAATAATAATGCAAAAGTCACTGTATAGTAAATGTGACCTCAGGTAGAGTATCTTAGAAAACTCCCGGATGCAACTGTTAAGCTCCCTATGGTGTCTGCATTCTTCATCACTAGAATGATTCTTGAAATTGAACTTAAGTAGACAAAGGTATTTGGCTCCCGTTATATCTAGTACGATTAATATATTACTACTGGAAAAAGCGAAGTACCCATTTCCTCATTCTCATCCTATATCAAATTAGATAATATCTGTCAAAGTTCTGTAACCTATTATACATAGGTAAAAGAATTATTTTAAGTATCATATTTCCTTTCTCTAATTCTGTATGCAAATTACAGAGGGTCCAGTTTGCAGTAATTTTTATTCACTTTAAAATTACCTATAAAAGAATAATGTAAGTCTATTATACATATTAGAAACTTTTCCTAAGTTTTAGGAAAAGTTGTAAGGTTCAAAACATCAAGAAACTCTTGAATTGTATCCTTAAAACTTGTCACTGACAATATTCCATATAACAACAAAAGGATTCATGGTCAAACAATTTGACATGTTAAACAGATTAATTTACCGAAGAACTTCCTGGAATCTTTAATACATTATGTGCATTCTGTCTCTAAAAAAGCAGCAGATAGTATTTTGCAGATATAATAGTTAAAATATGTACTGTTTCTCCCTATCAGTCTTTCCCTATCCCCTCTTACAAGGCCACTCTCTCAGATGATGCAGCTTTCACCCTGTGACATGCTCTAGCCAATTAAATATGAGAGTTAATGACATGTGCCACTTCCAAGCAGCCTTGTTAAGAGTCATAGTTCCATCACTTTTCTCTTTCCTCTTTCCTCTGCAAGACATGTACATGCCAGAAAGACTGCTCCTTCAGCTTTGGTCCAAGAATGAAGAGGACACGGAGCGGAGTGGCAGGAGACTAATCAGGGACATGAACATAAATGAGAAATAAATGTTTATTGCCATAAACCACTAAGATTTGGAGGCTCTTCTGATACTGAAATGTAATTGACTAAGTTGACTGATATGTTTCCCAGATTTATTGAACCCTGGCATCCTTTTGCCAAGTAACATCTTCTAGGATTTGTTTCCTCAATTACTCCTGGTTTTTGTATGGCATCTTTTCTATTTCTCAGTTAATACTGCATTTAAGACAAGCATATAGGTCAGCTAGAAAGTATGCAGTCTTAGCCATCTGCAATTAAGGTTCCATTTTAAATTTTATCAGCAGTGTGAATTTCTGTCAATTTCTGCTTATAGTCAATAAAACACTCTATTGCAATAATCTGATTAACATTCAGAAATCATTGCTCAGATGGCTACTTAGTGAAGTCTGCCATGGTAATCTTGGTTCATTACTTAGTTTTTCTGAACAGGTCAGATAAAGTGTCCGGCTTTGCTTTTTGTATATGTATTCATATTTAGCAAATTCAGAATACTGCCACAAATTCCATTTTCTTTAAACCTCACCATACTCAACTCTCTTTTAGATTAGCAAATGAGAACATACTTGAAATTTCAGTATCAATTTTTGAAAATTCCATAGTCTATACTCCTGACTCAGTAAAACCATAATTAACTGTATTCTGGCTGACATTCTTAAGTTCAGAATTTGTATTAATATTTGTAACAAGTGTGCCTTGAAGGATAGCACAGTGAAGAAGAAAAACAATAATTAAATTCCAATCTTCTCACTGGCATTAAGGTTTTGTTGTTTAAATGACCTATTATAAATACACATTCAAGTAAATCATATACATTTTACTATGTATACAATCCTAGACAATGACTTTTAGGAGACTCGTTCAGAGGCCTTATATTTATACTGACATCATAGAAGCAATATTCAGTGATATAGTTACCAAAAGGGGAAGGTAGACACATAATCTAGACAGATGTAATAAGCTACCAAATATACTTTAAAATAGAAAAGGTTTTGGATTAATCTTAATTAAAAAGTTAAAGAATAAGTTCCTTTCCTGAAAACTATAACTAAATAATATTTACTATATTTGCTCATTTTAATTCACAACTGTTTCTTCAGTCTTATAAATCAACAGTTCACCATAAAGTATTCAGATACCAGTAAAGCAATCCCACATCTGATTCCCAGATTGGGAAAACTCTAGGCATTTAAGTAATTATTATTAAAACTAATTTTAAAATATTATTACCATACATTAAAGTTAAAAAAATTTTTCCCCTAAAACGACAGCTTTGAAAATAACTAACATATAAAAGGACAGTTATAGTATCTGTGAGTTTCAGAGTTTTATATAATTTGGCACATGTATATATTTTAAAATCTCAACTTTTTCCTTCATTATGTGGTTTTCATATATAAAGTGATTTCAAGATGCAGCTACACCCACCTCTATTATTTTTAACAGGTAAGAAAAACTCCATAATGCTTCGATACTGATTCATTTTTCAATTAAAGCCAACAGCAGTACAAAAAACAGCTTTTGGGGAACAGATCAATTTAATACCTATTTAGGTATATAACCTCTTAGTATCTAGGACTTTAGAAAACTGACTTTCACCAATAATGCACTACTGTGGAGAAACGAATCAGAGATTTTGAAACCGCTAGTTTTAACACTTTCATGATTTTAAAAGAAAATTTAACTTACTTGATAATGGAGATCAATAAAAGTCACACTTTAAAAAATAATAAAATTGACAAGAAAAAAATATCCAATGATCACACTTCCTTGATCATGCTGAGACCAGCTCTGACAGCACATAATTCTTGACTGCCTCACTGCTTCCAGGTAAGTAAGTAAGATGTACCTTCACAACAGCTCTTACCAGTCAAGTCAAGACTTTCCATTGTGATTTCAGTGGAACATCAGAACTTCCAGCTTCTGTGATGCAGCAGGATTCTGTGAAGGACCCATAGAAAAGTAGTTAAAATGGTGAGCCAGGAAGGCCTTTCAAATTAAAGCTGACACTCATTCTCTTTAGCAAAATAATCTCCAAATAAAATGAATTACCAGCCAAACAATCAACATGAGGCAAATATCCTTATGCCAATGCTAGTTAGAGAAAGTGGCCCTAAAGTGTTTATTTTCAATTTTAACAAAAAGACAGTCACTAAAATTATTCAACGGAAATTCTGAGATTAAGGTTACACATACTAAGAATTAATCACGGGCAATAACTTCCTGGCCTTTTGGCTATAATTAAGTGTAGAATTACAGGCAAATCCCCTGGAAAAACATGGGGTTAAATCGACACCCTAACTAAATTCAAGTTATTTTAAATGACTGGCCCCACTCAACTAGATAAACTGTGATTCAGATATTAATACTTATGATTTGCCTTTTAAATATTTTAAAGTTAATAGGGCAAGATAGTAAAAACGAACAAACAAGAAAGCAGCCTGGGGTGAGGGGGACAAATAGAAAATAATTTTTATTTTTTAAGGATAAAGGATGAAGTAATTATAAGATCAAAATCAGTGAAATGGTGTACATGTAAATTAAATGGAATATTTTATTTTAATAACACTGCAAATATATATCCCTAAACCATATCATTTCTAAGAATTCAAAAGTTATCATTTATGTTTCTTTGTAAGACAAATTTAGGCTGCTTCAGTGGTGAAACTAAATCCACACTCAACTAAAAGAAGCAATTCCCTGCTCTAGGCAGATTATGACAATATATTTCTTCTAAATCTGTAAGCTACACACTGTAGAAACTGGATATCACTTTCTGGCTTATGGCTCTATCAATATAATATCAGTC